>NC_000001.11:238305333-238456848 GCF_000001405.40 Homo sapiens | reverse complement strand
TCAGGATTTCATACATCATTTTATCTCATTCTGTATTGAGATAAAGTATTTTTATAGGGCAAAAAAATTGTGGGTTGCATTTTATAAGATTCTCTCAAATATTTTCAAATTGAATTTTCAAAGTAAGAATGGGGAAGAGATGAGTCACAAGCTTTCAGTAATGGAAGTAACTTCATCAATATTCTCATTTGACACAGGCATGAAAGGTGCATGTGTCCAGTCACATAGTCCATTATTGCTCATCTGCATTACCACCATCAAAATTAAAGTCATGGAAGTTTCCAGCTGATAAAATGCATTTTCTTCTACTATTTTTATGTATGTTTCTCAAAAACCTGAACCAAAGTTCACTTCACATTACTTCTAATTTAGCAAATATTTAAATGGATTTCTACATACCATATATAGGATTCCACAGCTTTATATAATGCTGGTACTTTAATATTCCAGCATAATTTTTAAAATTTGATGTCTTCCTATTGTTTTCAAACAAATGCTTCAGGGTAAAAATATAAATAGGTGCAAAAGGGGATGGAGATTACTGACAAATGAGCTACAGAGAGCAAACACCAAGCCCACTGTAGCAAATAGTGTGGGTTATTTTAATAGTTGTACACATAATTCTATTTGGAAACTCCTTGCAAACCTGCTCTCAAGTTGCAGATCACAATAAGCAGCCTGAATTTCAATAACAGTAAATATGCAGCAGGGCCAAAATGTGATAAATAATCTAATTTTTTCGAATGTTAAATTTAATTTTTGATTCCCATTGGATGGTGCTGGAATGCATCACCTACCCTCCCATTGCATCAAAATTTCTGTCTAATATCAGAGAGAAAATAGGAAATACACCTTGGAGGCCTGATTTATTCACTGGTAGCAGCAATTGGGTAGCAGTTTCCTGATAATGCATTTGCATAAATTATTAGGTGCCTCTCTCAGGTTCACAGAAGGTGACGTGGAGGATTTTGTTGCAATGGCTGCAACATGGCCCAGATCTTAGAATCACCCAGTTCTGCTTTTAAGATACATGTCTCTGTCTTTCAATATTTCTCCTTTAAAAAATATCAGTTTTACAGAAGAGATGTGTTGGAAGAGATTTATTCATGTGATAAAAAGATTCCTCATTAAATCAAAGGCTGCACCACATTTTACTATCTGGTTTCCTTGGGGTCACATGGTATTTTACAAATAATTTATTATTTTTAGAAATTCATCTTAAGGATTTCAAAGTGCACCAATACTATCCTTGGTTTTGAATAGATATGTATGTACCTAGATTTTCCACAGTTTATGTTCTACACGACATACAGCAACATTATATATGGTTGAAATATGGGCAAGGAAATGGTCATCAGCAATTTGGAAATCCACAGTCTAGAGAATTAAAAGTATTTTTTGCTTACTTTGAAATTATGTGATTAAATGATAAAATGAACATAAGCCTCAGTGGAGTGTAGCCATGGTATACTTGAAGAGTTTTTATGTGACAATTCTTTAAATTTGACAGAACTTTCAGGCTTGCACTTACTAAATACAGCTCTACAAAGGAATTATAGCCTTGAAATTAGAACACTAAAAATGCACGAGTGACTTATTCACGAAAAATAACTGCATAATAACGCATCCTTGCATTCTAATATCCAAATATTCTTTCTCAAATATTCAGCCTCTGCAACATCTTCTCAATGATTAAATATCCATGTTTTAAAAGCTTTTACAGAGGCAGTGTGAGATACTGAATGAGAATTGCGATCTGGTTGAACATTCCTCTGTCTTGATTGTCATTGAATAATGAATATTTACACTGAGAATTCATATTGTCAGTGACTTGAAATAAAAGAGCCTCTTGGAGCATTTTTCTTTTTAGTCATAGTTTTCTAAGCAATTAAAAATGAGTTAGAAGCTGCATTATAAATGGAAATTCAGAAAAGTTTTAGAATCATACATTGTAATGCATTATACATTTCATAACAGTAATAAGTTCATTTATATGAATAAGGATGAATACAAGACTAACATAGACTGCAAAGAATAGTTAGTGTATTATGATCTTGCATTTTATTGCAGAATAATGAATATTTGTTTCTACATTTGTTTAGCTCATTTTTAGCTAACTTAAAAGCTCACACAACATATACTTTTGGCATGCAAAACATTTTCACTGTATTCCATATTTAAGTTTACAAAACAATTTTTAAAAGTCTAGGTAGTTAGGGTATGCTACTTAGGATACTAATAATATATTGTGTCACAGCCATAGTCCACTTTGACTTCTAAAGCTATAATTATGTCCAAAGTTTCTAAGAACTTCTTAAAGTACAATAACAAATTCTATAAACATAGAATTTGATGATAGAATTTATTGAACCAGTTTGAATACATATTTTATGTAAAAAACTTTCCTTTTACTTTCATTTTATATTGTTATGATTGTTAACAACAGGGTGAATTATTATATAATTGAAATTTCTTATTGACATTATAAAATAAAAATGGATGCCCTTCACATGTACATAGCTGAGTATTTTATTTATCACAAAACACACTAGATCCATTTATTCAACAAACAAACACTATTGAGAATCTACTAAATGTCAATCATTGACTTAATCACTGGGAAAAAAATACTGTCCTCACAAATCTCAGAATTCTCTTCAGAAATATTATTTTCTATCAGAAAATAAGAAAGCCATGTGCCGTAACTATCATCTTTGTATTAGTCCATTCTCATGCTGCTAATAAAGACATACCCGAGACTGGGTAATTTAGAATGAAAAGGAAGTTTAATGTACTCATAGCTCCACATGGCTGGGGAGGCCTTGCAATCATGGCGGAAGTCATGTCTTACATGGCGGCAGGCAAGAGAGCTTGTGCAGGAGAACTCCCATTTATAAAACCAGATCTCAAGAGACTTATTCACTACCATGAGAACAGTATGGGGGAAACTGTCCCCATGATTCAATTATCTCTACCTGGCCCCACCTTTGGCAAGTGGGGATTATTACAATTCAACATGAGATTTGAGAGGGGACACAGCCAAAGCATATCCATCATCATAATCAAATACTCACGATCTTATTGAAAAATCATTAGTAAAAATATATTAATGATTGATTGAAAACAAAGAGGAATCCATTTTCCTAGCTGGAACTGATCTGTATTATTTTCCTTTTGTTTTGTTTTGTTTACAGATTTCTCACTGAGAAACTCCACATTTATTTGTGGACTAATGGAGTTATTTTGTGTCACCCCACTAGAATATAAGCACATAATAGGTCCATGATACATACTTGTAGGATAAAAGAAAGAAGCTATCAATCAAAACATAGCTTGCTTATCAAGGCCTGAGGTCATAACCTTAGAGACACAGATTCAACTAAAAACATACCATAAAGGCAATCTTCTCTGATGGTTACTGTTTTCCTAATAGTTCCTTTATAGTTTTTATTGGCTACTATTTTCTCTTTGAAACATTGTTATTTTTGAAGTCCAAATATTTTTAACATTTTAAAAGAAACATTTTTTAAAAATCTGTGGGGATTGCCAGGGGAGAATATTGAATCTAACAATTTTTTGAAGAGGGTGCATTTAAACTGTGAAAATACGATTACAGCAGTATGATGGGACAGTGTCAAAATAGCAAGTCAATACTATTTATCAAACTGTCTATCTATCTATACAAGTGTATAATTTATTAGTGTTGTTGGCAACCTGATGGATTACTGTATAGGTAGTTAAGATAAAGAGATTGACTATGTTTGAGATATAATCATTTTGATTAAAATGTGGGGTATCACTGTTGCCCACAAAATTTAGGATTAGCCCCAATTAACAGAGTCACATCTTATATATTTTTCATCACAAATGTATAGATTAGATTACTATTGTAACCCAAGAAAATAAAGGACAAAAACTGAACCGACTCTACCGAAGTCGGTTGGTAGATTTTAGGCTCACCCTACGCCTCTGGTCATCATCTCAGTAATTACATTAATTTAAACATACAAAAGGTGAAAGAATTTTTTTATTCATTAGAACATAAAAAGGGGAAGGGTGACAATTTAATAAGAAACATTTACTTTAGTCCTACCTGTTATCGGATTCCCAGTTCGAATGTTTAATTAGACATATGTATTTAAATATATTCAACTCTCTGAAACAGCTCCTTACTTTAAATTTCTAAAGAACTCATTTTCTCAATAATCAATAAATGCTTAATATATGCTATACTTTATTGGTATGAATAACTTAATGAAATTACTAATTTTACACATGTAGCTTTGTACTTTTTACCCTGTCAAACTCAAAAACATTTTTTGTAATATTGGGGCTGAAATGCCTTTTGTAGCCCATTCCAATCTTTAAAAGAATCAAAGTGAGAAAATATAGCACAGCAATGTAAAATTAAATCATATAACCACATTATCCCACAAAGCAAATCCACATTTCACAGTTTTTCTATTTTCTTTGGTCCATTTCCAGTGGGGCTAAGGAAAAAAAGGTTATCTTCTTATGAAGATGGTTGGGGAGAACTTGTGCCCTGGATTGTTTGGTAAATTAATGGAAATTACTAAAATTCCCAACCTACTTCTTCTATGAAAATCTCATTTCACCATAAAAGAAATGCTATATTTTACTCTCATAAAACGTATAATTCCAGATTTCTGAGTCTTACAGTTAATAATTAAAGCTTATTTAATTCATAGTTGGAAAACTTTGTAATATATTGCGAAATTTCCAAACTTCTGTTGGCACTTATCATGTTTGCCCAGCAGTCTTTTTCTGTAGAATGTACATAACTATTGGCACTGTTTCAGATATATTCAATTCATTAAACATATGGTCGATAACTACTGTATTATGCTTTTAGAGATAGGGACCCTTGGCAGATGAAGCTGCAATATCTGCGGTAGCCTCAAGCATATAATTGCTCCTTGATTTCTTTTCACCAGGAAAAAAATGTCTTATTATTGTACTAAATGAATATTTTATTTTCCTGGCAGCTTGCAATGATAGCCAGACTATCTGTTTCTGGCCAAGATAAAGTCACCCCTCTTCTTGTGGTCTCCTACATGTGATTATATTTTATATCTTATTCAAGACCATTCCACCTAAGAATTTCTCTTTTGGACACTATGTCTGGGCTGTGGTTTCCAACCTAGATTATGGTTACCATTTACCTGTGGAAGTTTTCAAAATATGTATGCACCAGTTCCATAACAGACTACAGATTCAGAATATTTAGATAGTTCCATTTTTAAAAAGGATTCAATGAAATGTTTTTGCTATGTGTTATGTAAGTTTTTCCTTATATAAATAATTCTGAGATAATTTCTTAGTTATTTTTCTTTTGAAATAAATCAATACTACATAAACTGTAAATTGATTTATGCTCATAAATCATAATCACGCATGTATTACCAGTTCTACAGATTAACTTTATGTATTAATGGTACACCAACATAATAACACAGGAATCTTAATTATCAAACATGTTACTTCTCATTTTACTAATTCAGATGGTAAGAAAAAAACATCTATTTATTGCTGCAAACATGAATAATTCATGTGTTAATGTAGAATAATTTTTACATTTCTGATTATGCATCATAGTTGATGCAACCCCTTAGGAATGCCTGACAGTGGAAGTATTAATGTGGCTAGGCATTACATACATTACATGTTTGACTTGAATGCATATTTTACAACTTGTATTTTATACTTTCAGTGATCTCCTATGGTAGAAAAATAAGTTATGGCCCATTGTAACTGCTGTTTACAGTTTAGAGACAAAATTATATAGAAACTATGCAAATGGAAGAAATTGGCTATGGCACCCACTGCTCATGCTTTGAGGCAGTATTCATAAATTTCATTAGCTCAGCTGTCATTTCAGCCCATAAGTGAATTTAAGAGACTTAAGAGATCAGTGCAATCAGTCAAATTTTCTGGATTATGTAAGCAAAATAAAAATTTAATAAAAATAATTTTAAATAACTTATTGTAATGTTCATATTGGCCACAAACATTTTTTATCAACTTCTTGATGATGTGTAAATGCATTGGCTATAATTAAGACATAGAGATAATATTACTCATTTAAATTCATTAACTTTCTACATCCATTTTAATAACTTCCCCATAAATAATATCTAGAGTTACTCTTTCATCAAACAAAATGACTTACTTAAAATTAATTTTATTTTTTCTTTTTAGAAACAAAGACATTATGACAAAACCTGAACAGCAACCATATCTGAATTCCTCTTAGATTGTGAGACCTCGACTTGTCATCATTTAAACATTGTGAAATCCAATAATTAGGAAGCATAGACTTTGTCTCTTATTTTATTTGTACCCACATTGTCATTTGGTGTAATCTGCAGGTGAGGCTCATGTTAGATACTTGAGGCAAGAATTTGAGATTTATAAGTATAATTTTTTAATATTTAAATAAATTAGCTTGATTTTTATAACTAAACTTAGATAAATTTAAAGCAAACAAACGTTAGAATATTGAAAGAAAAAAATGAAATAGAAAAAAGATTAAGTCAGAGTAGGGTTTGTAATAACCTTATTATATATACATATACTATATATAAGTAATATATATATGATGTATAGATAGATCCTACTCATTGTTAATATACAAAATGGACTACTAGTGTTATGTGATAATAGCAGACAATAGAATTTTGTTTATCCTAAACAAATTATTTTTGTTTTAATGCCCCTGAGGAAATGTATAAATATGTAAACATATGTATACAGAACTTGTAAATGTATATATGTTCTGTATGTGGAATAGCACCACCTAATAAAAAATAAAGTCACACTTTATCAATAGCTGAAACCTTTCCTCAAAATTCACAGTAGAAGTTCAATGTGCTTAGCCACAGAAAACAGAGATATCCTTTTCCTATTCCAAGAATGCCTTCCTTAAATCTCAAACTAACCTTGGGTCTTAACAAAGTATTGGGAGGAAAAGTGAAAAGCATTCTCACCAGCTTGGTAAGAACAGGTAGAGAAGACTATGTACGATAGCTCAGGATGTAATGTGTGGCACTAAGAAATTAGAAAACTGATGCTCATATGAGTATATTATTGAAAATAATATAGCACAAAATATTGTAATGACAAAATAATGTGTATTGAGGATTTAGGAGTTAGAATCAATGTATCAGGGATATCAAGGATTCAGTATAAAAAGAATGCCACATTTTGAGGCTTTACTCATTTATTGCTTGTATTCAATACAATTGTTAATTACTATGTTGCTTTAGTTAACAATTTGGTTATTTAGATTGCAAATAATTAAAAATTATTTTATGACATTTTATGTTCTAGTGCTGTCTATCCATGCTTAGCATGTAGGATGTGATATGTTGCCTTTCTTTCAAAACTACTTCCAATTTTAAAATTCATTCCATGTAAATTGCAACCCATACTCCCCTAGGATTAATGTGGATACATATATATGCATATATTAAAATATATATGTGTATATGTATAACTCTGCAGTATGAGGAATATGCTTTCAGAATCCCTCATAATACAAAGTTATCATTTTGAATATATAGTCCCTTACTATGTTGAACATTCTAGGAAAAATGTAAATAATTAGTGGAAAAACAGATTAGCAGAAAAGAGGAGATGTAACATTTTGGAGAGAATGCATTAATATGAAAGAAAGTAACAACAGCTTATTGTAAATGGTTCTGAGACTCATTATAATTAATATAAACAATATAAAGTTTGATTAGGAAATAGAAAAATATATTCTAAACTCTTAATTCTGTGCAGATCTTCAGTTTCTTAAGCAGAAAAAATGTTTTCAATGGAATAGGATTATTTTATAAATCATATGTATGGTTTATTTGCATTTTTATTTGCCAGATATTTCTTATTGAATTTAAAAACATTAACACACTCAGGAGAACTATACACTTTTTGAAACACCAGACTGGTTGTGTTAGGGGGAATTAATTCACTTAGGGCAATGCCATCATTTTCTCATTTGAAACACTACTAAATGCTGTTTATAAATAAATAGTTATTTTAACATGATAAATTTTAACTTAGAAAGAGGCAAATGCTATAGAAAAATAGATATGTAAATAATATATATGTGTGTATGGATATATACATATAGGTATGTGTTATATATCATATACATGAAATATTTTACATATATCCATAATATATAAAAATGTATATATATGTACACATACATATATAGATCACATTTATAGGTGCATAGAAATGATGTCAAACATTTTTAGGAGAAAAAAGACATTTTTGATCAATTTTATTCAAAATATGTCAGAATCATTTTAAATTTTATAAGGCAGCTCTAGAGAATTTTTGTATGAGATAATAAGAAATATAGATTGGATGTGACATTATTTGATCAAGTATTGAAATGTAGGGTAAAAATATTGTGACATAAATTTGACAGGAACACACACACACACACACACACACACACACACAGAAAAAGAAAGGGAGATTTGGAAATCCCTATAGAATGAAACAAAATTTATTTTAAGTTAATATAGAGTACGTAAAATACAAACTCCTCTGAGGAATTTGTATTTTATGTTTTTTCATTATTTTTACATTACAATAATGTACACAGTTTATGAGCGCATGAAATGAATATATGCATGAATGAATTTATTCAATAATCAAAAATTCAATTAACAATAAATTATGACTAAGATTCTTACAGAATAAATGATCTTTAATGAAGAAAGTCAACTTCTCCCAATGCTGTGAAGGAAACTAAAGAATATAAGGCTTTGATAGATCTTCACCAGGACTGATAACCACACTGAAACTTCAAAGAGACCTTATGAAAGAGTGGAAAATCCAATGCCTGAGTTCATACATAACTGTGTTGTAGCAAGTATATGATTTAATGCGGATGTGCCTGCCCCATCTTTCTCCAATCTAAAAGACCGTCAATATAGGACACTAGAGCTTGAGGGACCCTAGAGTTAACAAGGCAGAGAACTTACTCAGGGCAGGATAAAGGGGCTTGTACAGTATAAGACGGCCTCTTCAAAGAACAATGGGAGTACTGGATTGCTAAATCCGAAGATCCATCTCTACTAAAATTTTTGTATTTTTAGTAGAGATGGGGTTTCACCATGTTGGCCAGGCTGGTCTCAGAGCTTTTTCTATTCACCACTCAGGTGAAGCTTTACTTTGCATTGCTTGTATTTGGGGAAAATAGCATACTAAGTAAAAAAGTGTCATCTTTCAGTTGGAATTCATGCTAAATTTGCAAAGTTTAATTAATTTCACAGGCTGTAGACAGAAGAGGCACAAAGGAACCAATCCACAGCTTTCATTAAAGGAGCACAGAAAGGAAAAAGGAAGGAAAGGGAAAGGGAAAGAGTGAGGAAGAAATAAAGAATGGTAACAGAACAGACAAAACAAAATTTAGCTTTTGTTTGAAAATTAAGGTTTATTTTCCTAAACACCATCATCCTATCAATTATGCAATAAAAGTTACCAATTATTGATAGTTTACTATATACTGTGTAATTTTAAAAATTACTGTTTTCATCAGCCCTCCAAATACAATATTAATTCCATTTTTGAGCTGTACTTGTTCAAGGAAAACTCCATTGCTGTAGATAGTTCCGCAACTACTCTGGCTTTGAATGTCAGAAACTCCGGCAATAGCACACCCTAAATTCAGAATGTCTATTTAACTTTATCCAGAAAATGGATTTCATTGAATACAGATGTTCTTACATTACTATTTAAAATCACTATTTACAGAATATAAGTCTCATGTCTATGCAATAATTTTTAAAAATGAGAAATGAGCTATTGTTTCAAATTTTGAACAATTGCATTCATAATGGACAAAATTTTCCTGATACGTGAAGGAAGTTCAAAGGAAGTGCTCAGGGCAATTTCCAGTTCCAACTGTGGGAGAAAAACAAAGCACCAAATTGTCCTCTAACTGGAAACAACTAGAAAGCTGAAAAATATTAAGAAAGAACTCAAACATTGGCCAATTTGTATCATAGGACTATGTGACTGTTAAGAAAACAAAAGAAAATGAAGAAGATTTTGCCACTGCTGATACTTCAAACTGGAGAAAACTGCTGCATTGCAGCGCAAAATGAAATCTAGCATCCCTAGGAGACAAGGAGAGGGCCAGATATCTAGGATTTGAGGAACAGACATTATCAGAGTGTGTCACTGAGTTATTAGCAGACCACTAATCTGTGCATGCATAGAATGAAAACCCATGCCACCTAGCAAGAAATATTTCTGAGGAAAAAACAATTACCTGGAAAGTGTAGGGTTAGTAATTCCCATAGCACACAGACGGCCAAGAATAATTTAAATTAAAATGTATTGAGCACATGGGATCTATAGTAGACACAGCAGAATGGCCACATCGTAGAAATATAACTAACTTAGCCTTAGAGTTAAGATTATTCCAAACCCACCAAAAAAGCAGCTTCAAAGCAAGCCTCAAAAGCATACAGGTAATCTAGAAGTCACTTATCTATTGGCCAGAAAATATTCTAGAAGGTAAATATTCTAAATTGCTATATATATACACACACACACACACACACACACACACACACATACACACACACATATATATACACACATATATATACACATATATATACACACACATATATATACATATATACTCACACACACATATATATACACACACATACACACACACACACACACACACACATATATATATATCAGATATATATATATATATGTATATGAGACAGAGCCTTGTTCTGTTGTCCAGGCTGGAGTGCAGTTGGGCGATCCTGGCTCGCTACAATCTCCACCTCTTGGGCTCAAGCCTCAGACTCCTGAGTAGCTGGGATTATAGGCACCCACCACCATGCCTGGCTAATTGTATTTTTAGTAGAGACAGGTTTCACCTTGTTGGCCAGGCTGGAGAACTCCAGACCTCAAGTGATTTGCCTGCCTCCACCTCCCAAAATGCTGGGGTTACAAGCATGAGCCACCACACCTGGCCAGAAATTTGCAATATTTTTAATTTGAATTTTTTAACTACTGCACATACAAACAAGAAAATTAGACTTACGATTGGGGGGGAAATAGTCAATAGAAACATAGAATTGACAGAGATGATTAAATTATCAAATAATAACATTAAAAGAGTTATTATATTTATTTATATGTACCAAAAAAATGGAGAACTGGACGTTACAAAAAAGAAACCAAAAGCAATATCTAAATATAAAAATTACCCAATTACTACAATGAAAATATTATTGGATAGAATTAACCTCAGATTATAAACTACAGAAATAAAAATCAGTGAATTATGAGTGGGAACTAGACAAGGATTTCAACTCTCATAACTTTTCTGTATCATTGACTCAAGTTTTTGCCAAAGCACTGAAACAGGAAATTTTCCTTGATCCCTTTTTGGACCTCGTGACAAGGGTGCCTACTTACTCAGCCTGCAGCTCTCAAGCCCTTGAGGGAAGGGGAAGCACGCAGGTGAGCGGGTGCAGGAGCCAGAAAGAGTGCTTTTGGGTGTTGGCAGGAGCAAAACTCCCTGCAGGCCCCATGACAGTGTCTCGTCAGGAATACCAGGGACCCCAGAAGCCCCAGAGGGAGTGTGTTACAGTGTTCTTTTAGCTTGGCTGTCCACGGACAGCTTAAGTGTTAAATACCTCAGTGGGCCCTCTGCCTTTTTGCATGAAGTGGTTGCTCTCTGCCAGCAAGGGCAAAGGGTCAGTGTGACAGCCTTTAGTATCCACACCTGTGGCACCTGGGCTCTTGTTTGGCATCCAGGAAAAATCAGGTCGCATGAACGAATTGAAGGGTGGTGAATATGGAGGATTTTATTGCCAATGAAAGTGGCTCTCAGTGGGAGGGGAGCTGGAAAAGGGATGGAACAGGAAGACGATCTTCCCCTGGAGTCCAGCCATCCCCAGCCAGACTCCTCTCCAAAGCAAAGCGGTCAAGCTGTCCCTCTGAAGTCAAGCTGCTTCTCTCCGACGTCAAACCGCAGTCCCCGACGTCCAGCTGCTTTTCCTCTTCTCCCCTTCTCTGTTCTCTGCTGGTGGAGCCTGGGGTTTTTACAGGTACAGAATTGGGGGCAGAGCAAGTGAGGGGTGGTTTTGGAAAAGGCAACATTCCAATGGGAAAACAGGGATGTAAAGTTCTCACTCTGGGCCACAGTTCCAGGCTTGAGTGGAGGGGAGCTCTCACCAAGGACCCTGCCCTTTTCTGCCTGGAATATCTCTGCCACCTGTCCCTATCAGCACTACGGGGAAAATGCATAAATAAATATACTAAAATAGAGAGATCAGAATAGATTCACATAAATATAATTAACTGCTCTTTGACAAATGAGGAAAGGTAAGTCATTGGGTAATAGTCTTTTCAATAATTGGTGCAGAAACAGTTGAATATCAATATGAAAAGAAAATCTAGACGTAGACTTTACACCTTTCAAAAAATGAGCTTAGAGTTGATCATAGACCTAAAAGTAAAATGCAAAACTACAATATTTGCAGATGAAAATCTAGGAGAATGTGACCATGGATTTGGTGGTGAGTTTTTAGATGTAACCTCAAATGCATAATTTATGAAACAAAAAGTTGATAAATTAGGCTATATTAAAAGTAAATACATCTGCTCTGCTACACACAGTGTTAAGAGAATAAAATCATAAGCTAGATATGGGGAGAGAGTATTTGCAAAACACATACCTGATAAAGAACTTGCATTTGGAATATACGAAGAAACTTTAAAACTCAACAAGAAAACAAACAACCGAAATTTAAAATGGCCAAAATATAAACACACACGTCACCAAAGACGTGCAGATGGCAAAGGATACCTAACATCATTTGTTATCAGAGAAATTCAAATTAAAACTATAACAGTTTCTGAATTCAAAAAAACGCTGACATTGTCAAATGCTAGTGAGGACCAAAAGCATCAGGAACCCTCATTCACTGCTGATGAGAATGCAATATGGTGCAGCCACTTTGGAAGACTGCTTGTACGTTTCTTACAAAGATAACACAGTCTTATCATAAAATTCAACAATTGTGCTTCTAGGTATATAATTCAATTGAATAATAAATTGAATTAATTTTGAAGCACAAAATCCTGCATGCAAATGTTTACAGTAGCTTTGTTTATAATTGCCAAAATCTGGAAGCAACCAACATATCCTTCAATAAGTCAAAGGCTAAACAAACTGTAGCGCATCTATGCAATGTATTATTCAGTGACACAAAGAAAGGAGTTAGTAAGTCACACAAAGACTTGGAGGAACTTTACATTCATACTGCAAAGTGAAAGATGCCAGCTTGAAAGAGCTACATTACAAATAGGTAAGGAGAGCCTCCTTACATATTTTAAGTTTGGCTTAAAAGTTTCTTTGCACATCATGAACTATAACTTAAATGGAATTTTATACAGACTGAGGTCTACTTTTGTGCCAATCACTAAATTTTGGCCAATCAAAAGTAGTCAACTGTTCAAACCATGTTCAAATAAGGCAAACGCCAAACTGTACCAATCTGGCTGTTTTTGTACCTCACTTCCATTTTCTGTATATCACTTTCCTTTTTCTGTCCATAAATCTTTCACCACATGGCTGTGCTGGAGTCTCTGAGCCTACCCTTGCCCAATTGGTGAATCGTTCTTTGCTCCATTAAACTCTTTTACACTTAATCCGGTAAAAGTTTTCCCTTTAACAGAGGATGTATGACATAATAGATTTGTCAAAACCCATAATGTTTATAGCACAAAGGGTGAACCATTAGTAATGTATGGAAGTTTTAAAAATCAGTAAGAGGCCACAATATCTCAGGAAGAAAGGCAGATTGTGACAACAGAATCTAACGGCAGTACAAATGTACCAAACATCCTCAATTAAGGGCATGGAGAGATTGGAGCCAAGGACCCAGCTAAGCTGTGTCTGGATTCTCGATCCAGAGAAATTGTGAGATAATAAATGTGGGGTTTTTTTTTGTTTTTGTTTTTGTTTTTGGATTTTTGACGGAGTCTCGCCCTGTCACCCAGGCTGGAGTGCAGTGGCGCCATCTTGGCTCACTGCAAGCTCCGCCTCCCGGGTTCACACCATTCTCCTGCCTCAGCCTCCCGAGTAGCTGGGACTACAGGTGCCCGCCACCGTGCCCAGCTAATTATTTTGTATTATTTTTTTAGTAGAGATGGGGTTTCACTGTGTTAGCCAGGATGGTCTCAATCTCCTGACGTCGTGATCCGCCCACCTCGGCTTCCCAAAGTGCTGAGACTACAGGCGTGAGCTACCACGCCCAGCCTAAATGTGTGTTATTTTAAGCCAGTAAGTGCGGGGGTAAGATGTTACACTGCAATAGGTAACTAAAAAAGTCAATGATTTATCCTTTTATCTGACTAAAATGTTTTGCAAATGGAGAACTCACAGTCTGCCATGATTCCATTTTATACATTCTCTATTTCAGTTAATGCCTTCATGTTCCGATAAGAAACCCAAAGTCTACCTGAATCCTCTGTTTTATTCCAAGAAGTATCTCACTAAAAAATGTTACAATAATCTATTCCTTCCTCTTCATTTCAACTACTGTTAGGTTAATTCAGGCACTCATGATCTCCCACCCATCCTATGTCCTCTGTGCTGAGAAGGTTGATTGGCTGACCCAACTCAATTTCAACTTTTTTCTTCAATCTGACTGAAGAATTTAGAAAGCTGAAAATACATTTCCTAGACTTCCTTGAAGCCAGGAGTCTGGAATCTCCATGGGATCAGCCAACTGGATGCACTCACATGATCTTAGGAAGGCGAAAGTGTGGCAGAGGCAATATCCCTTACTTTTAGCAGTTGGTTAGTGTTGCTGTCAATCAAGGACAATGTGGGCTAGAGGCAATCTTAAAGTTCTATTATTTTGGAAATCATTTGTGGTAGCCTTGCCTAGAACAAGCCCCATTAGCCAATTTCCAACGTTATTGTAAGCCCTTATTTTCTGTACTAATTCCCTTCTTGATTAAAATACCTAGAATAGTTTCTATGCTACACTGACTCATTACTGATAACGTCTCCAAACTTTGAGTGCTGTGTCTGTCCTCTCACTCAGCCCATCCTCTACTTGCTTCCAAAAACAAAACAAACAAAACAAACAAACAGAAAATAGCTCTGTTACACCTCTGCTAAAACTTTCCACCGGTCATTTATTGTCTTATAATATCCTTGTTCTATAAAAATGGGTCCATGACTAGTTTTGAAGGTAGAGAGAAAATCATATTCATAGTTTTTTGTCATCAGAACTTTGCATAGAGTAAGTGCTCAATAAACACCAACTGGATGAAAACATAGATGACTTCATGATTGCTTTGATTAATGAGTATATAGATGGATGGAAAGACAGATGGATACATGAGAGAATAAACCGGAATTGCTATACTAATATACGCACATTTCTCTGTCTTTATAATATTTTATTATGGAATATCATAGATTCTGTTATGCAATTGTGATGGAAAATAAATAAAATGAATGCAGGAAGCACTCATTAAATATCAACATACAAACTTGATTATAACTAATATATTCATATCATCTTAATTTTCCAAAGGGATTTTATGCAGCTTAATTCATTTAATTTTCACACAACTGAAGTTACAGTTTTTTAGATATTTTTATCTCCAACTAACATATGAGGAAATTCAGGAAGCTCAAAATAAAATGACTGAGAATGACAAATAACAAAGTGGGAATTTGAATGAAGTTTTTTCTTTTCTTGAAAAATCACATTCTTTTGGCCTTATATAAATTTTCAGTATGTCTTTCAACAATACCTCTGTGTTTTTCCTTATAATATTTAGTGTGATATACATAATGGTAGCCTTCCCAATATAATCATTTTTACGTATATTGATTTTTTTAGTGCCTTAGGAAATACTGTCAAAGAGGTTCACTGCTATTAATTACATGTTAGGTTAATTTATTATCAAATTGTTCCTAGAGTTTTCAGTATTAGGAACGACATTAAGCAGTTTGTGTAAATATTATCATCTCCTTTATTTCATTACCAAGAGAGTTTTCATTTAAAACTAGTCTTATCTCCAGTAACATTTCTTTAGTTTGGTAGCATTTGGATTAGAAAAATTAATAATTAAATGAAATTTCTTCAATAAAATAAAATAACTGCTTTCAAGTGTTCCACTAAAAGCAATGTCTAAAGTGCTTAAATTACTTTGATACATATAATTAAAGATGGATGGGTGAATGATATTCATCTGCCACTGAACCATACCTCCCCCCAGCCCCCAACGCCACACACACACACACACACACACACACACACACAACTGTCTTTGGATCACAGATAAACATTACCAAAAGACACTGTAAGAAGTAAAACAAATGTATTCAGAATAAGTAATAATGAGTATAAGATATAGAAGATGAAAAGAGTATTAGAGTACATATAGTATCTTGAAGAGCATCAATTAAGAAGAAATCTATAGGAAGATCTATGATAGTATCCACAGTGCAATGGGGACATGTGAAGGATTCTTAAGGGAAAGGCAACAGTCAACTGATGACAGAGAGAAGAGTACTATTAGCCTAAAGCTCACTGGGCATCTGATGGAGTTTCATGTTGACATTAGATCAATTTTTTTGTTCATTAAGAAGGGGAACAAGCCAGTCATGGAATAAAGGTAAAGAAGAAAAATCACTTAAAATTATATTTCAATTACATAATTGGAATGTGATTAATGACGTGTGCATGACTACAGTCTTGCCAATCTGAAGATGAGGACATTTACATAAAACTATTAGAGAAAAGTTGGCCAAGTGCATTTTGATGTTTATAATTAGAATTAGATAGTTTATTGAATTTCAGCTGTCCACAAGACAGTGGGAGTGATATAAGCTTGAAATTATTTTAATCAACTACTTCATAAAAAAACCTGTGGATAATTTAGTATGCTTCACCTTTTTAAGTAACTAGCTCATAATTAAATATGGGGCTTTACAATGAAGAACAAAGATTTGGGTTGATAAATAGAACAAAATTATGTGTTAATCAACTGTGTCAGAGCAATGAATTGAAAGCAATCAGATTGCCCTGATCTTATGGGATTAGGCAGGCTGAGGTGCTGGCAGGCAGAGGTAGTCAGCATGCTGTAACTGCTATTCTTAATTGGTCTGGGGCAATGTGTCTCAGTGTGCCTGCTAATCCCTCTATAATATCAAAGATCTCTTATTCTTAGGTTGGTTGTGAATCAATTCATGGTGTTACAGTGAAAGCCCTCAAAGGGCTTTTGATTAAAATAGAATTTAATCAATCATTGAATGTGCAAATGAGAAAAGTTTAGGATTTTTTTGTCTGTGTGTTTTTCCCAAAAAAGACAAGGAATAGAATTTCTGGATTATGTAAGGAAATATCCTGATACTTCAACTTAAGGGGGAAAAGTATAAAATAGAATTATGTCATGTACATAGTTGCCTTTGATAAAATGTTTACATATTTAAGGAAGAGCTGAAACACACGAGAAAATGCATGGAAATAGAAGGTAGCATATTTCCATAAGTAGATGGAATTTGACAGGCAAAATATAAATAGGAAAAAGTTCAAAAGTGGACAAATAAAAATCATAGGGATCATAAGATTAGTTGTTTTACATAGGTTTGGTGAAGAGAAGTAGGCAAGGAAGCAGAGCAAAGCAAAATGGAAATGAGCAATTTAGTTGGAGATTAACCAGAGTGACTTCAGTGACCAGAACAAATCCATCATTAGCTATCTACTTATTGTGTTTTTGCTCTTCATATTCACTGAAGCAGAACATCTATATTTTTACATTCTCGTAAATTATCTTTCCCAGAAGTTAACTTTATAGTTTTGTAAACAGTCAAATAACCTTCTCCTCAATTTCTCTTTATTTTTCAATCATTCTGAAGTACCATTAAATGATTTGCTATTTAAAGTTTGCCATTCATACTCTTTGGAATTATTCAATTATCTTGGTATTCCTTGCTGATGGTTGAGAGAGTTCGTTCTCATAATTGAGTTCCTTTTATCATTCCATTTTATGTTTATTAAATTATCTGAAATTTCCTGTTTCAAATTCTGATAGACAAAACGATTATATAATACTAGCTTCCTGTTTTAATTTCTCCAACTCAGTTTTGAAGACAAGGTATTAGAAACGAATTATTTCAAAGTAAATTCCAAAACCCCACAGGCTCCAATTTACTTTTAGGTTTACATAATTTTAATTTAAGGGGCCATTGCTTCTTTTCCTCCTGCTGTGAGGAATACATGCCAACTCCATTCTCTTACTGATTAACCACCCTCTCCTGCAACCCGGGTGTGTGTGTGTGTGTGTGTGTGTGCACAGAAACACACTATTTGGTAGTTAATTATAACTGAATTTCAATCTGTATACTGTATTGAAAATTAATCATTACATTTTTCCCTTTTTTGTAGTTACTGAAAAAAACTAATTGTCTTTGTGTGTATTATTTATCATGATGACTTTATCAAACAGTATGATCTGGTCAATCATATATCTGAATGATGATCACACTAAACTAGTCGGGAGGTAATTTTACTGAAGCCATGTCTAGATTTTTATAATTTGTTTAAAATACGTGTTATAAAAAATACCATATTGGTCTGCATTAGGGAGAATACAAAGCAAACCATTTTTTATGCAATAAGGAAAAAGGTTATACTGAGTATAAAATAGAATATGTATTCTATTCCTTCTCTTCATCTTTTATTTTTCTTCCTACCTAGCCAGTAAGCTTCATTTTTCTAAATTTCCAAAGATCACCTTGAAGGAAAAAAATATGCAATGTGTCAACAGGCGTATTGTAAAGGTTGGGTGATTACGTGCTATGGTTTACTCAGATACCGTTGTACATGGGTTATCTGCTCATTAACTCCCAAGAGGGTGTAGAAAACTGAATAGAAAATCTTCCATTCTTATATACATTCATATATATCTTATATACATTCATATACATTAAGAATGTATAAAGTAGAATGTGTATTATATTTGTAATGAGAAAAAAATTTACTTATAATTACAGACACTTCCTAACTGTAGAAAACTCAAGATGTCATGTACATATAGCAGTCAATGTGAAAAACAATGGAGTAATTGAAAATTTAAACACAAGGTAATGCAGATGAATCTGTAAATAACAGCTTCAGTTAAAATTAAAGTCAAACAAAAAGAAGGAAATAAACAACAAATAGATCTTTTATTAAATAAGCCAGACTCCATATTTATAATATAAAATTATATTTATACTGTATACATAACCAGCTGGCTTTTCATATAATAAAAAACTCATATGTTTATAATTATTGTTTCACAGAGTTCCATATACATGGAAATATTTTATCTAACATTATCATTTAAAAGTTTGCCAAATACGTTGTCAGTTACTTGCTTCATTTTTTTTCTTTTTATCAGTTTGTAAGTTATACTATGATAAGTGTAGGCATAGTAATTATTTGTATACTTAAATATTTTTACATATTAAGCATATCTGTATACACCTCTCTTGCAAATTGTATATGGTGATAACTCAACCTCAGAAAATAATACCACTGGAAAAATTGCATACAAGCATAAGTAAACATTATTTAATGTGGCATAATTTAAATGGATAACTGTAAATTCAACAATGATTTATATGTATATAAATTACCATATAAATATCTTATATATAAGCAAACTAGTTCAAATGAAACATAAAATACATTAAAATATCCACTTGAGCTTAGCTTATGAGATAATTAAGAATTATTTAGATTGTTATTAACCAAATAATCTTTACATCTGTGGATTTTTATCCTTCCCTCAATTTCTTTTATTTGTCATTAAGAATTACTGAGAGTCACTGACTACTTGATAAAAAAAATAAATAAGGGTTTTCTCACATTATTTTATCACAAATTGAAACAGAAAGAAAAATTTATAGGAATAAAAAAGTCTGCAAGATTTCCTATTCAGTTTTCTACACCCTCTTGGGAGTTTAGCGAGCAGATAACCCATGTATAATGTATCTGAGTAAACCATAGCATGTAATCACCTAACCTTTACAATACGCCTGTTGACACATTCCATATTTTTTTCCTTCAAGGTGATCTTTGGAAGTTTAGAGAAATGGAGCTTACTGGCTAAGGTAGGAAGAAAAATGAAGGAGGAAGATAAAAATTTATTTTGCAGGAAACAAAATATAAAAAGAGTGAATTCCAAGGAAAGCTATTTTACTCATCCATGACTCCATGCCTAATAATGGATGTGGAAAAAAAAATAATTGAGATCATTAGCTCTAGATTTTGCAAGATTGAGATTTCCATAGAAATGCACACAGTGAATGAGAATCATGTTATTAAATTACCTCTATGGGACATAGCTCTCCAGGTGTTTCTGTTTGCTTGCTTGTTCTGTTTGTTTCTAATACTCAGAGTAGCATCAGAAGGAGTACCAGATACTCCAGAGCAAAGCCCCACATCTGTAGGCAGGCTGATCAGAGTTGGCTGCAACATCTGTACCTCAGCTACTTACAAATTTGACTCAAAAGAATTTGAGAAATCTTGTGTTTTACCTCAGCAGATCTCAGTCATGGCTTTGGGACATTCTGATGTATTATGCTCATTTGTAAGATATATTGGGACTAATTTGTCACAACTCATAAAATATTCAGATTACAAATTAAAGAGTTCCTTCCATTAAAATGGTTTCAGAGCAGTGTCTCTTAAAAAGACATTCTCAATTGGGTAGAGCTAGCATGCTGCAAACTGGCACCTACCTTAACCTTTATTTTGTTTCTGGAAACAAAGTGTCCTGGAATTTAGCTTTACCCACCTGGGTGCATTACAAGGGGAACTTCATCTCCTATATGTATTGCAGTAATAAAAAGGGGATGTGAACAGCTAATCTGAGAAGCCACAGAGAAAATAAGGTAGATAGATAAGTGTGTACAAGGATATATGTATGTGAGTGTACACTAGCATATATATAGAGATATATATACTTATATATGCTATATGTGTTAATATACACACATACATGTATGCATTCGCTTTTTGAACCTCCTTAATGTTTTACTATGTTGTTCCTGCCACAACAATATTTTGATCTCTCTTGTTCACTGGTGCTCCTGGAATCACACCTGGCACCATATTCAACACTCAGTAAATATTTAATTTCTAAGTAACTGACTAAAAGAAAGAATGAATGACTTTGTCCTAGAGGAAAGTAGAGGTTTAATGCAAGATTTAACTACTGCAAATGTGAAATATCTGTGTCTCACAGCAAAGCTTTGATGGGGGCTTTTTAACCTCAGCACTACTAACATATTGCAGCAGATCATTCTTCTATATGGGGGCTGCCCATGCATTGAACTATGCTTAGCAGCGCCCTCAACCTTTACCTACCAGATGCCAGTAGCACGTCCTACCCAGTCATGGCAAATAAAAGTGTCTCCAAACATTGCTAAACGTCCTCTGGAGGTAAAATTACCCAATAGTTGAGAACCACTTAGAGGAAGGCTGTAAGTATACAGTATTAAAGTTTTAATTATTTAGCTAAATGGAAATTATTTTAATTGTAGAATCAATTTGATTTTTCAATGAATTTGTAAGTTCATGAATACCATTCCTAAATTCTGCTCTTTAATACACAAAGCCCTACAACGATGTGCCTTCTGCAATATACTCAGGCCTTGGTGAACTGTGTTTCTCAAGCAAGAAACGTAAGCAACTTTTTGGCTCCTCTCTATTCCTTAATGACAATATCCAGACAATTACATTATTCTGTTGATACTAGTTTGACTCAGTTTATTTCTCTCCCCTGGCAGAAGTATTAAAGATATGGAGACCCAGTAAGAACATTTGAATGCCCACATTTTATTGTGTTTGGGGACAAGGAAAAATGTAAACTCTGTCTTCAGTCAGTAGGGTTTGATTGCCCCAAACTTGCAGAAAAACTCATTCCCTATTCTACCATATTTCTGTAGAGAGGAGCTCTATTTCCCATAATGGGTTGAGTTATGCAACACTGCCTGGCCCCCCTCACTTCCAACTCCCAAAGTCATGTCCACTTGAAACCTATGAATGTGACCTTATATGAACTAAGGGTCTTTGAAGATAGGATTACTTTAAAGATCTTCCGATGAGATCATCCCGGAATGTGGGGTGGGTGCAGGGAAATCCAATGGCAGTTGCATTTATAAGAACAGGAGAGGACACAGACAGAGAAAAGAAAGCCATGTGACAATAGTGGGAGAGACTGGAATTATGCAGCCAGAAGCCAAGAGAACCTGGAGCCACCAGAAGCTGGAATATGCAAGGAAGAATTCTCCCCTAGAATCTCCAGAAGGAGCTCAGCCCTGCTGACATCTTGATTTTGAACTGCTGGCCTCTAGAACTTTGAGAGAATAAATTTCTGCTGCTTGAAGCCACCAAGTTTGTGATAATCTGTTAAGGCAGCATCAGAAACGTAGTTTACCAAAGGTCAGATTTTGGGGAGACTATGCGCCAGGTTTTTTTTGTTTTGTTTTTCCTAATTTACCTAGAGAGAAAGACCAGGGCATGCTCACCTCACATCCTGTATGATTTTCTGCAGTTCTTGGATAGAATGCTCTGTAAATATCTGTTAGGTCCATTTGTTCCAGAGCGTAGTTTAAATTCATAGTTTCTTTGTTGACTTTCAGTCTCGATGATCCGTCTGGTGCTGTCAGTGGTGTGTTGGAGTCCCCTGCTACTATTGTGTGGCTGTCTATCCAATTTCTGAGGTCTAGCAGTAAATGTTTTATGAATCTGGGCACTCCAGAGTTAGGTGCATATAAATTTAGGATTCTAATATCTTCTTGTTGAATTGATTCTTTTCTTATCATGCAGTGACCTTTCGTTTTTCTACTGTTGTTACTTTAAAGTGTATTTTATCTGATATAAGAATAGATATTCCTGCTTGCTTTTGGTTTCCATTTGCACAGAATATATTTTTCACCCTTTACCTTGAGTTTATATGAAACTTTACATGTTAGGTGAGTCTCTTGAAGATAGCAGGTATTTGGTTTATGATTTTTATTCATTTTGCCAATCTACATCTTTTAAGTGGAGCATTTAGGCCACTGATGTTCAACATTAATATTGAAATGTAAGGTTTTGTTCCAGTCATCACCTTGTTACCTAGGTACTTTGTTTTCTTTGTTGTGTTATTGTTTTATACGGTCTGCAAATTGTATGCTTTCAAGAGGTTCTATTCTGGTGCATATCAAACTTTTTTTCAAGATTTAGAACTCCTTTTAACATTTCTCATAGGGCTGGTCTTGTACTAACAAATTCCTTCTGCATTTTTGTTGTTGTTGTTGTTATTTCTCCTTCATTTATGAAACTTAATTGTGCTGGAATCAAAATTCTTGACTGACAGTTTTTCTGTTTAAGGAGATTAAAGGTAAGACCCCATTCCTTCTGGCTTGTAAGGTTTCTGCTGCAAAGTCTGCTCTTTGTCTGATAGGTTTTTCTTTATAGGTTACCAGAAGCTTTTGTCTCATTGCTCTTAGAATACTGTCCTTCATGTTGGCTTTAGATAGCTTGAAGATTATATGCCTTGGAAATGTCCTTTATGCAATGATTCTCCCAAGAGTTCTTTAAACTTCTTGTATTTGGATATCTAAATCTCTATCAAGGCCAGGGAAGTTTTCCTCAATTATTCCCTCAAATAACTTTTCAAATATCGTGCTTTCTTTTCTTCTTTAGGAACATCAATTATTCTTACATTCGGACATTTCAAATAATGTAATATTTCTTGGAGATTTTGCTTGTTTTTTCATTCTTTTTTCTTTATGTTTGTATTATTGGGTTAATTTGAAAGCCTTGTCTTTGAGCTCTGAAATTCTTTCTTCTACTTGGTCTAGTCTATTATTACTACTTTCCACTACATTTTGTAATTCCCTAAATGTGTCTTTCATTTCCACAAGTTCTGATTGGTTTTTCTTTAAAATATCTATCTCTTTAGGAAAGGTTTCATTCATATCCTGAATTGCTTTTTAAATTTCTTCATGTTGGTTCTCACCTTTCTCTGGCATCTCTTTAAGTAACCTAATAATAAACGTTTTGAATTCTTTATCTAGTATTTCAAAGATTTCCTCTTGGTTTGCATCTATTACTGGGGACTTAGTGTATCTTTTGGGGATATTATAGAGCCCTGTTTTGTCATATTATCAGAATTGTTTTTCTGGTTTCTTTTCATTTTGGTAGACTATTTGTTCTAAATATTCTTGCATTCATTTTTTATTTAACTGTGTTTTTTGTTTAATTTCCTTCCTTCTTGCTTAAGGATGTGATTTTAATGGTTTTAGTTTATTGTAGCCTAATTTGACTCTTGATGCGTTCAGGGGTGAAGACTCTGTATGGGTCCCTTGGTTATAGAGAGTCTTCGTATGTTGGCTTTCTCAGATGCTGGTTGTGGTAGCAATGTGCTCAGTGTGTGAGCAATTTAATGGTCTCCTCCAAGGTTGGAATGGCAGAGATCACTTGAAGATTATCTTATTACCCTGTGGTGTGCACTTATTTATTGATTATTAGTTCAGTCTTTGGGTCAGTAGGGAAGGTGTCCTTGGGTAGAGACCAGATGTGGCTAAAGCAGATGGGAAATTGCAATACCCAATGGTGGACAGAGGTCCAAGCCTTGACAGAGGTGGCTGGGGGAGCTCTCAATGAAACACACTGAAGTCTTATGAGGGGGAACGGTGGGAGTCATCTCAGCTCCCCTGCCAGCCGAGCAACAAAGTGATCTACTTCCAAGACACACTCCTGACCCAGTGCTTCAGCAATTCAGATCGGACAGGCACCTCTTTTCATTTGCAGGAATGTTGATGTTCCAATAGAAAGGAATTGTGACTCTGCCCCTTGTGCAAGCTTGAACAAAGGGTAGAGTGACAATTCCTCTCTACTTGGAACATCACTTTTGTGGACCTGCAGTCACCCTGAAATGTTCCAGAAAGGCTGTCTATAGGTGCACCCATGCTGAGATCCCATGGGAGAAACTACAGCTGTGTCTGCAGTGGTGGATAAGAGGGAAGAGAAGTCCTCTTCTCCAAGATCCCTTGAGTCCAAGCCTACCTGACTTGGGGTAGAGCTGCAGACTTTGCCACAGAGCCCAGCACTGCACCTATGCCTCTGCTGAAATAAACTTCCCAATTGTGGAAAATTCTGGGACTCAAGGCCTGCTGTCTGGATTCTTTTTTCCCCAGAGGATGTTTCTTTGATATGGTGCATTCCCCCTTCCCCTAGGAGTGAGAGTCCCTGAGAGCCAGCCTACTGTGAATGCTGCTCCTCCTCTGGATCTAGCCACACAGTGGGGCTGCCACACTCCAGGCTGGTGCTGAAGAATGTCTGCTGGGGATCCAGTGATGTGACCTGTCCTCAAGTGTCCCAGTAGTGGGTACCAGCACCAGCTCTGATAGAGGTGGTAGGGGAGTGATGTAGGCTCTGTGATATTCCTTGGTTATAACCAGCCTTAGTGTGTTGGCTTTCTCAGATGCTGATTATAGTAAAGATCTGGTCACATGGACACACTGAGGACTTCCTAGTTAGCCACAGTGCTGCAGGCAATGGTGATGGCTGAGGTTACACACAAGTTTTCTCCTTCCTGAGTGTGGTGTTATTCTACCTAGAGATGCTGTAACGGACTATGTTGGTTGGCTTCCATCCAGAAAGTGGGACTTGCAAAAGAACACCAGCTGCAGTAGCCATGGTGGGACTTGTGCTTGCCTTATGCTACCCAGAGGGGTACTCTGTTTTCTGGGGTGATGGACAGGGCCATCAATTCCCAAAAGTTTCTGTCTTTTGTGTTAAGCTACTAGGGTGGAAGGAAGGCAAAGCCGGGTGGGGTCTGGGTCAGGCAGGTCCATGCTCCGGCTCTCCATCTACAGGACAAGCAGCAGCCCGTGAGGGGATTTGGGATGGGTTATCTACTCTCACCGCTTCTATTCAAAAACAGAAAAAAACAAAAACAAAAAAAAACAA
The DNA here is from genome assembly GCF_000001405.40 of Homo sapiens. Classification (NCBI taxonomy): domain Eukaryota; kingdom Metazoa; phylum Chordata; class Mammalia; order Primates; family Hominidae; genus Homo; species Homo sapiens. Next base: position 238,430,785 of record NC_000001.11, on the reverse strand, counting down.
GACACCTAGGCAAGAAATAGCATGATGAATGCAATGGTACCTCACATCTCAATACTAACATTGAATGTAAATGGTCTAAATGTTCCACTTAAAAGATACAGAACTGTGGAATGGATAAGAACTCACCAACCAACTATCTGCTGCCTTCAGGGGACTCACCTAACACTTAAGGACTCACATAAATTTAAAGTAGAGGGGTGAAAAGAGGTATTTCATGCAAATGGACACCAAAAGCCAGCAAGCGTAGCTATTCTTACATCAGACAAAAGAAACTTTAAAGCAACAGCAGTTAAAAGCAACAAAGAGGGATAGTACATAATGGTAAAAGGCCTTATCCAACAGGAAAATATCACAATCGTAAACGTATATGCACCTAACACTGGAGCCCCCAGATTTATAAAACAATTACTAATAGGACCTAAGAAATGAAATAACAACACAATAATAGTGGGGGACTTCAGTAATCCACTGACAGCACTAGACAGGTTATTAAGACAGAAAGTCAACAAAGAAACAATAGATTTAAACTATACCTTGGAAAAAATGGACTTAACAGATATATACAGAACAATTCATCCAACAACCACAGAATACACATTCTATTAAACAGTGCATGGAACTTTCTCCTAGATAGACCATATGATAGCCCATAAAATGACTCTCCATAAATTTGAGAAATTTGAATTATATTAAGCACTCTCTCAGACCACAGTGGAATAAAACTAGAAATGAACTCCAAAAGGAACTTTCAAAACGATGCAAATATATGGGAATTAAATAACCTGCTCCTGAATGAGCATTCAGTCAAAAACAAGATCAAGATGGAAATTAAAAAATTCTTTGAACTGAACAATAATGACACAACCTATCCAAACCTCTGGGAGGCAGCAAAGACGGTGCTAACAGGAAAGTTCATGGCCCTAAACACCTACATCAAAAAGACTGAAAGAGCACAAACTGACATGCTAAGGTCACACTTCAAGGAACTAGAGAAATAAGAACAAACCAAACCTAAATAAACCCAGCAGAAGAAAGGAAATAACCAAGATCAGAGCAGAAGTAAATGAAATTAAAACAAAAAAAATACGACAGATAAATGAAACAAAAAGCTGGTTTTTAGAAAAGATAAATAAAATTAATAGACTATTAGCAAGATTAACCAAGAAAAGAAGAGAGAAAATCCAAATAACCTCATTAAGAAATGAAACAGTAGGTATTACAACTGACACCACTGAAATACAAAAGATCATTCAAGGCAACTATGAACACCTTTACCCACATAAATCAGAAAACCTAGAAGAGATGGATAAACTCCTGGAAAAATACAACCCTCCTAGTTTAAATTAGGAAGAATTAGGTACTCCTGAACGGATCAATAACAAGCAGGGAGATTGAAATCGTAACTTAAAAATTACCAACAAAAAAAGTCCAGTACCAGACAGATTCACAGCAGAATTCTACCAGACATTCAAAGAAGAATTGGTACCAATCCTTTTGACGCTATTCCACAAGATAGGGAAAGAAAGAACCCTCCCTAATTATTTCTATGAAGCCAGCATCACCCAAAAACCAAAACCAGGAAAGGACATAACCAAAAAAGAAAACTACAGACCAATATTCTTGATGAACCTAGATGCTAAAATCCTTAATAAAATACTAGCTAACCAAATACAACAACATATCAGAAAGATAATCCACTCTGATCAAGTGGGAAGTGGGTTTCATACCAGGGATGCAGGGATGGTTTAACATACACAAGTCAATAAATGTAATACACCACATAAACATAATTAAAAATAAAAATCACATGATCATCTCAATAGATGCAGAAAAAGCATTCAACAAAATCCAGCATCCTTTATGATTAAATCTGTCAGCAAAATCAGCATACAAGGGACACACCTCAATGTAATAAAAGCCATCTACGACAAACCCACAGCCAACATAATACCGAATAGGGAAAAGTCGAAAGCATTCCCTCTGAGAACTGGGAACAAGACAAGGATGCCCATTCTCACCACTCTTATTCAACATAGTACTGGAAGTCCTAGCCAGAGCAATTGGACAAGAGAAAGAAATAAGGGCATCCAAATCAGTGAAGAGGAAGTCAAACTGTCACTGTTTGCTGACGATATGATCGTTTACCTTGAAAACCCCAAGGACTCCTCCAGAAAACTCCTAGAACTGATTAAAAAATTCAGCAGTTTCTAAATACAAGATTAATGTACACAAATTAGTAGCTATTCTATACACCAGCAGTGACCAAATGGAGAATCAAATCAAGAACTCAACCCCTTTTACAATAGCTGCAAAAAAAAAATTAATAAAATATTTAGGAATATACCTAACCAACAAGGCTAAAGACCTCTACAAGGAAAACTACAAAACACTGCTGAAAGAAATCATAGATGACACAAACAAATGGAAACACATCCCATGCTCATAGATGGGTGGAATCAATATTGTGAAAATGACCATACTGCCAAAAGCAGTATATAAGTTCAGTGCAATCCCCATCAAAATACAGCCATCATTTTTCACAGAATTAGAAAAAAAAATTGTTAAATTCATATGAAACCAAAAAAAAAAACCCCAAATAGCCAAGGCAATACTAAGCAAAAAGAAATCTGGAGGCATCACACTACCTGATTTCAAACTATACTATAAGGCCTTTGTCACCAAAACAGCATGGTATTGGTATAAAAATAGGCATATAGACCAATGGAGCAGAATAGAGAACATAGAAATAAAGCCAAATACTTACAGCCAAGTGATCTTTGACAAAGCAAACAAAAACATGAAGTGGGGAAAGGACACCCTATTCAACAAATGGTGCTGGGATAATTGGCAAGACACTGTAGGAGAATGAAACTGGATCCCCATCTCTAACCTTATACAAAAATCAACTCAAGATGGATTAAGGACTTAAACCTAAGACCTAAAACTGTAAAAGTTCTAGAAGATAACATTGGAAAAACCCTTCTAGACATTGGCTTAGGCAAGGACTTCATGACCAAGAACCCAAAAGCAAATGCAATAAAAACAAAGATAAATAGTTGGGACTTAATTAAACTAAAGAGCTTTTGCACAGCAAAAAGAACAGTCAGCAGAGGAAACAGATCTACAGAGTGGGAGAAAATCTTCACAATCTGTACGTCTGACAAATGACTAATATCCAGAATCTACAATGAACTTAAACAAATCAGTAAGAAAAAAACAAACAATCCCATCAAAAAGTGGGCTAAGGACATGAATAGACAATTCTCAAAAGAAGATATACAAATGGCCAACAAACATATGGAAAAATAATCAACATCACTAATGATTAGGGAGATGCAAATCAAAACCACAATGTGATACCATCTCACTCCTGCAAGAACGGCCAAAATCAAAAAATCAAAAAACAGTAGATGTTGGCATGGATGTGGTGAACAGGGAACACTTCTACACTGCTGGTGGGAATGTAAACTAGTACAACCACTAAGGAAAACAGTGTGGAGATTCCTTAAAGTGCTAAAAGTAGAACTACCATTTGATCCAGCCATCCCACTACTGGGTATCTACCCAGAGAAAAAGAAGTCATTATATAAAAAAGATACTTGCAGAAGCATGTTTATAGCAGCACAATTCACAATTGCAAAATTGTGGAACCAACCCAAATGCCCATTAATCGACGAGTGGATAAAGAAACTGTGTTATATTTATATATTGGAATACTAATCAGCCATAAAAAGGAATGAATTAACAGCATTTGCATCGACCCGGATAAGATTGGATACTATTATTCTAAGTGAAGTAACTCAGGAATGGAAAACCAAACATTGTTTGTTCTCACTGATGTGTGGGTGTTGAGCTATGAGGACGCAAAGGCATAAGAATGATACAATGGACTTTGGGGACTTGGGGAGAAGGGTGGGGGGGGCGATGGATAAAAGACTAAATAATATGGTGCAGTGTATACTGCTTGGGTGATGGGTGCACCAAAATCTCACAAATCACCACTAAAGAACTTACTCATGTAACCAAATACCACCTGTACCCCAAAACATGCAAAAATAAAGAAAATAAATAAATATCAAAAAAAAGTGCATTCATAAAACAAAAAAAGCCAGAGGTATAAAAAAATGCTCATTATCATTGACCATCAGGGAAAAGCAAGTTAAAACCACATCTGTTAGAATGGGCATTAATTAAAAAATGAAATGTAACAAGGGTTGGCAATGGTATGGAGAAAAGGGAACCCTTGTATACTGTCGGTGGGAATGTAAATGAACAAAGCCATAGGATGAAGGCTCCTCAGCCAACTACAAATAGAATTACTGCACAATCCAGTAATCCTGCTACTGGGTGTTTATCCAAAGGAATATACATCAAATCAGTATGCCAAAGAGATAACTGAACTCCTGTGGTCATTGCAATGTTATTCACAATAGCTAAGATATGGATGCAACCTAGGTGTCTATCATCAAATGAATGGATAAAGAAAATGTAGCATATATACACAATGGAATACTAGTTAGCATTGGAAAGGGGGAAAACCCTGTCTTTTGGGATAACATAGATGAACCCGGAGGTGAAATAGGCCAGGCACAGAAAGACAAATACTGCATGATCTTTCTCATATGTGAAATCTAAAAAAGTTGAACTCACACAAATAGGGAGTATAATGATGGTTACCAGAGGCTGGGGGAGAAGAATCAATGAGGAAGGGGAAGATGTTTATTAAAGGGTACAAAGTTTCAGTTAGTGAGGAGGAATAAGCTTTGGTGATCTATTTTACAGAATGGTGATTACTATAAATAATAATATGCTGCATATTTCAAAATTGCTGAAAGAGTAGACTTTAAATGTTTTCACTATAAAAAAGTAATGTTTGTGAAGTGATTAATTTGTTAATTAGCCAGATTTAATCTTTCCACATTGTAAACCCATATCTAATCATCACATTATACCCCATAAATATAGCTCATTATTATTTATCATTAAAAATAAAGTTTAAAAAATTAAATAAACCACAAAAGAACAAAAAGAGAAGAACTATGAAGTAGGAATTGATGTCTAGCAGAGGCAGGCTCATAGTCATTCAAACTAGAGCTTAATTCACCTGGAAAAAATACATAAATACCTTCTGCGGAATGCTTTCTCAAGAAAAGGCATTTACTTGTAATATTTTAAAACCAAAATGCTGAAAAGGTTCATGATTCTCACTCAGAAGTTCACTCAATATCCCCTTAAACCAGGACTCCAGAGTCCTTGATAATTACAATTACTCACCATCTGAAAACACTGGCATTGAATAGTCCTAAACCAAGTTTATTCTTCCTCATTTGAGTCACAAGGAAAACAACCTAAAAAGATGGAAACTATGAAGATATCACAAATTTTTTACAATGGTAAATGAAAATCTTCTTCATATCAAAAAGTTTATGTTACATTTGTTATATACTACATATTATGAGAAAACACTATTGTCCTCACCTAATTTTGATTTCCACTTTTGGTTTCTGCATTAAAATATAAAAGCTGCTCCCCAGAGAAGTTTTCTGAAGACTATTGATGACTTATATCAAGACAATTAATTGACTAATGCTTTAGTGACTCACTAGCATTAGGAAAGAGGTAGCTAGTTTGTATTTCCTCTTGGTCCTGTGAGCCCCTCATATTCACTGTTTTTACTCTCTTCTTTCCTTCCATTATTTGTCGGATATACAGATCATGCATGGGACTCAAAATACAGATGCATCTTTACACTTCTTTCTATAAAACTAGGGCAATTTCATGCCTCAAATTTGAATGAAAATTCAAAATATAATTTCAAGATTTTTTTCACATGTAAGTTATATTACAGTTAGCAGCAATATGGAGTTGGCACAATGATAATAAGTGTGTCAATGAAAGAGATGAATTCAATGATAGGCTCTCATATTTATGATCAATTGATTTTGACAAAAATGTCAAGGTAGTTCCAGGGGCAAACTATAGCTTTTTCAATAAATAGCATTGGAACACCTTGATAACCATATAGGACAAAATAAGTATTGACCCTTATCTCCTATCATGCACAAAAAATAACTAGACATTGATCACAGACCAAACACTGAAGGTTAAAAATATGAAGCCTTGGCCAGGCATGGTGGCTTACGCCTGTAATCCCAGCACTTTGGGAGGCCAAGGCGGGCAGATCATGAGGTCAGGAGATCGAGACCATCCTGGCCAACATGGTGAAACCCTGTCTCTACTAAAAATACAAAAATTAGCTGGGTGTAGTAGTGCGCACCTGTAATCCCAGCTACTCGGGAGGTTGAGGCAGGAGAAACGCTCGAACCCATGAGGTGGAGATTGCAGTTAGAAGAGAGCACAGCAGAAATTTTATGAACACAGGTAAGCAAAATTTTCTTAGAATATAAAAAGCACTAACCATAAAAGACTTTATCAAAATTTAAAATTTCAGCTCTTCAAGACACACAATATATGGTAAATATATTCTTCCATTCCATGAATTGCCTTTTCATATATATATATGTGTGTGTGTGTGTGTGTGTATGTATATATGTACATACATATTGTAGTCAGGATTTATCATTAACTTCTAAAAATAAATAAGAAGACACAACTCAATATAATCAACAATCAAATACTTGAACAGACACTGCACAAGAGAAATTCTGAAAAGACTTCATTACTCATAGTGTAAAACCACAATGAGATATCGTGAAACATACACATATCCAGTAATTCCAATCTTAGCATTTACCCATGAAAAATGAAAACATATGCCCACAAAGAGAAACTTTATTTAAATGATCATGAACTAGAAATAACTCAAATGTCCATCAATATTTTAATGAATAAACTAACTTTGGTGTAGGTTACTTAGCAATAAAACAATGACCTATTGATGCACCCAACAACGTGGATGATGACTGGAAACATTAGAGCAAAAGAATCCAATACAAAAGAGAACATGCTTATAAAATCTATATGTATGAAGTTCTGGGATACACACAGCTAAGCTATGGAGAAAAAAACTAGAACAGTAATGACCTCTATGTATGGAGTAGAGAAACTGACTAGAAGGTGGGCATGAGAGAATCTTCTGGAATGAACAAAATGGTTTATATCTTTATTGTCAGATGGTTACAAGAGTGTACGTACAATCATTGCATGGTACTCTTAAAGTCTCTGTACTGTTGCATGAGAATTTCACATCAATTTAAGAAAAATGCAAAAATTTTGCAAAAGGTTTTATTGATTTTAGAGGTTTTGCTTTTTTTCTCTTTCAAATGAAGTGTTTATATGCACCATCCATATTTATATCTGAAAGCCAAAAATTCCTTCCTATAGTTTTTTTGTCATTACATTTTTGTTGAAAGCAATAAAAATATACTATTGTTGCATGAGATTTGACAGTACAGATGTATATTTATAGTGAAGAAAGCAAGAATACCATTGCACTTCCAAAGAGAATGGGTTACTATGGGGGACTTGTTGCTGCTCTGGCAAGGCCATTTATGGCTGCAGTGTTTGGTGCTGTCTCCAGAAACCATGGTACGTCCTTCAGAATTTTTCATCCAGAAATGGAATTGTGTCAGTGTTCTAAGAGGAGCTCATGCCCTTAGGAAGTGGCACTTGCTAATGAAACCCACTAGAGATGGTGTAAAAATCCATGTTTTATTTTGTATTATATCTGGAAAAGCTTCATACGAATACAGTTACTTATGATCATGGTGTCCAAAACAAAGGGAATTGGGTGACAGCAAAGGATGTTTTATTCAGAGATGGCTAATAAAAATAGAGATTTTAATCCTGGGAAATACAATTTAAATAAAATTATCTAGGCATGGTGGTGCATGCCTGTAGTTCCAGCTACTCTGGGGCTGAGGTGGGAGGCTCACTTGAGACCAGGAGGTCGAGGCTGCAGTGCGTCATAATCGTACCACTGCACTCCAACCTGGGTGGCAGAGCAAGACCCTGTTTCAAAAATTGCAACCCAAAAATAGAGATTATGTTCATGCCTTCTCGTTACCATACCTATCTTTTGAGCCACATATGTTTACTATGACAAAAATTTTTACACTTTTAATATTATGTACCACAAAGATTATTTTAAAAGTTTTGTCAGATTATAATTTGTTGATTTAAGCTTGATTTCATGCTAAAAAAAACAAAAGCATTAAAAAACTGCTATTTGTATGCAGTTGTATCCTGTCCACTTCACGGAACACCCCAAGCAAGAACACTGTTTGGAAAACCTGGAACACCAGAGAGTGAGAAAGGCAGAGGGAGGTGTCTATCTGTTGGTGCTTCAGAAAGGTCAATGGAAGATAAATGTCAACATTTAATTATTCATTATTTTATAAAATAGAAAATGCTCAGATTTTTATTTTAAATAGGAAAGGGAAATTTGAAGCCTTCAGATCTCTAGTGCCTGAGGGGAGCAATTAAACTTGCCTGTGCTTTGTGAGTAAGTGTGTTGCTTGAAGCAAAGCTCCCGGCATGACTGCTCTGGGAGTGTACAGGAGCGAAGAGTGTTCTCTTCTTTTACAACTTTTTTGGATTTTTTTTCTTAATATCATCTCTTGAAGGTCACAGAGACCAATATTTGATATATTTAATAGATGCATGTATGTACTTTCCAGACTGCCTGTCACTGTATTCACATGTTAAACATTGAGGTTCTCTCATGAGAAATAGACCTTCCCCTCTTACCCAGCACAGGCAACAGAAGGACTCAGAATTACTCTAGCAGAGCTATGGATTGCCTTTTAGATAAAGTCCTCATTACTGAGTTTTCTGCTATGTGTATCCATGATTTAAAGCCAACACAAAAACCCATTTTCTTATTTGGGCAATTTACCATCCAAGTTTCTCTTGTCCCCTTATATATTTGCACCAGATATACTTTACTGTAGGAAGATAATTAAAAGTAACATAATCTGAAATTCATATAAATTGAGATGTTGTCACACATTTTATCATATTGATTTTTCACTATAATATTACTGCCAAAATATCAATCATATACCTGAGAGTGACACATCAGTATTTCTTAACTTACTGATTGTAGGATTGATTGATTTAACAAATGGACTTTCCCAGTATATTTTACTGAAATATAAGTTACATCCAGTAAAATGTATGCTTTCGAGTGTAGAATTCAGTGAGTTTTGACAAATGCACCATCAAGATATTGAAAATTTCCATCACCCAAAATATTATCTCATGTCCTTTTTTAGTCAACTTTATCCCCGTTCTGTCCTCTGGAAAACACTGCATTGCTTTCTGCTTCTTCTATGCATTTGTCTCTTCCAGAAAGTCATTTAAATGAAATCATGGAATACATATGTATACTTTTTATTTGCTTGTTTCACTTAGCATGATGCATTTATTACATATGCTGGTGAGTATATCAGTCCATTTTATCACTGAGTAGTATTTTCTTGTGTGGAAATACCTAGTTCGTCTGTTCTTTTCTTTCTTTCTTTCTTTCTCTCTCTCTCTTTTCTTTCTTTCTTCTTTTTCCCTCCCTCCCACCCTCCCTTCCTCCCTTCCTTCCTTCCTTCCTTCCTTCCTTCCTTCCTTCCTTCCTTCCTTCCTTCCAACAGAAAAGGGAAATCTGAAGGGCAACATAGCAAGACCCTGTCTTAAAAAAATACATTAAAAAAATCTTTTATCCAAACATGTAGAAATAATCTTCCAAAGTTTATTTTTTGTATTTCATTTTTATGCTGTTGTTTAATTAATACCACTTCTCCTACATTTCCTATTGATGAAAAGATTCATAATGCATATATAAGGAATATGATATCATTCAGGAAGGGTAGGGAAAGGTGGCCAATTCCAAGATGCTCAATCTCTGGAAAACTGGTTCAATTGTAAGTGAAAGTTTATTTTTAGAATAAAAATCTGAAGTGACTCGAATTCAACCCACTTCCTAGTCTAATCCCACATACTTATTAATTAGGTCAGTGTCACATATTCTATTCCCCATTCTTCTCTCAACAAGAAAGGATACATTTTTTAACGGATTAAGTAAACAGATGGAAACCCATGACATCTAAAGAATGATCTTTTAATATTTTAATTTTTAAATATTTAATGCCTAAATATATTTTATAATAGAATAAATATTTATTCTACTAGTTCCTCAAGGGAAATATCAGTTTTAATATTGCAGTTCAGACAAAATTTCTATTTTCCAATGTAATATTGAGATGGCAGATTGGAAGATGGATAGATGCCTAGAGACACAGTATAATACAGAAAATTATATATGTCCATATACACATATATATGAATTTTTAAAAGCACCTACACTAGTTTCTACAAGGGGAAAGATAAAGTTACAGAACCTGAGATGAATCTTATTCAGTGCAAAACTCTAACTGGAAAGCAAAAATGTGAGAATCTTTGGAGCAGAGTTTCTCTAATATAGTTCACAACACTATTTGCTGCTTAAATTTACTCATTTAAAAATTATTTGTTAATTAACTACTAGGTATTCGACACTCTTCTATGCTATGGGAACCCAATAGTAAGCAAAATAGTCAAGTTCCAACCCTCATGGAGACCAAAAATATGGATGGATTTGAGATGTATTTTGGGAGACAAATTAAGGATTTATTGAATGATTTGATATAAGGCGTGAGGAAAGGAAAAGTAAGAGACAAACGAGATTATGAAAATGATGAGGAAAAGGTGTTGGAGGGAAGCGTCTCAAGGATTTAGACTGAAGCGTCTGGAGGAATTATATCGGACATTTTAAGTAGACAATTGTTCATTAATTGGAATCTTAGAGAAAGCATTGGAGGGAAAAATAAAATTAGGAATTGTGAAAATATAAGGTCATGCTTTACATAATGACAGGGATATGTTCTGAGAAATGCATCATTAGGCAACTTCCTATATGTTCCTATAATGTTCATTGTGTGAACATTATAGAATGTACTTACATAATCCTAGACAGTATAGGCTACTGCACACCTAGGCTACATGGTACAGCCTGTTGCTTGTAGGTTACAAGCCTGTACAGCATGTTACTGTTCTGAATACCGCAGGCAAGTATAACACAATGGTAAGTGTTTGTGTATCTAAACATAAAAAGGTACAGTAAAAAATGATATTATAATCTTATGGGACCACCATTGTATAGGGGGTCCATCACTGGCTGAAAGATTGTTATATGGTACGTGACTATATATCATATTTAAAATCATAGGATTGATGATATTACAATACAGAGAACAGCACGGGGTAAAGATTGAGCCTTGAGGAGCTGTGACATATAGAGATCAAGTAAAATGAAAACCAGCAACAGAAACCATGAAGGAACAGCAACAAAGAGAAACTGTAAGCTCTTATACTGGGTGCACATCAGAGAAGCAAGAGGGCAGAATATGGCAAGAAAAAGAGCCATCCACAGTATTGAATTCTACTTTGTATTATGCACCAACACAATATGGAGAGCAAGATGATTTTTTTGAGTGTTCCCTGCACTTTCCAGATGTTTATTTCTGGCACCAAGTGAAGCTAGGAAGACACCGTCAGTCTCTTATGTTATCTTGTACAAATCTTGTGTTATACAGGTAAAACGTTATTTTTCTCCATGGCCTCTCTTCCATTTCAAGCAAGCAGTGAGTTTTTATAATTTGTTGTTCCTATGATTTAGCCAAGGTATAAAGAAGAATCAACTTGAGGTCAGTGGCTCTGCCTGCATTTTAGAAGGGCCTAATGCTGTCAAAGACTTTTTGTTGGTTATTCTGGAGGTAGATTAGGAGCGATAGTGATGTTGTAAAGTCAGAGGCAGGAAGGTGACCTTCCCTGAATGAAACTCGCGTGGGAACAAGGGAAACAGATCAGCAAATTTCCCCCAGCATCTGGCCACCCTCTTCCCCATCCTAATCCCAGTAGTGAGGTGGCAACCCCTCAACAAGAATGCCTGTGTGACACCCTTAGGGAGGCTGTAACCTGGTACAGATGCTGTCAATCCCATCAAAGAGTTCTCTTTCCTATGGGTGGCTTTCAAGCAGAGAATTTCAAGCTGTGGTGGGGTTAAGTAGCCTTAGACAACATAACATGGCTTCTCTGGCAGCCAGTGCTATGGGTTTGAGTAATACCCTGGGAACTTAGTGAAAACCAACTATTCAGGGACAGAGTGTAGCGAAGACGACAATATGACTGAGACTGAATTTCCCTTCAACACAGAATCATCAGCTACAGATGAAGGATGAAAATCAGAAAGAAGCTGATTTTTTTTAAATAAGGAAATTATTATTTTGGGTATACACCTGCGGAAGATAAACTGACATTCTTACTTTATCTTTTTTTAAATTCAAAGAAATGATGTGTGCATGTTGTCTTGTATTTAATGCCCAATAAATGTAAGATCATTTATGGTCCTAGACTAGACCAAATTTCCTTATAGTAGAAGGAACTCCCTTCCAATATTTCTGACTTAAGTGTATGAAAAAGTCCTCATGCTTCAAAATATTTTGCTTACATCATGAGATATTTTGGGAAATAACTCTTTAAATACATAAGTGTTTCTCAAAGCTTATTCTTGCAAATCTACTCCTTACATTAAACTAAAAATTGTGACTAAAAGCCTATGTTCATGAAATGTTATTTAGTCAAATACTTTGCCATCAATGATTTATTGAATTATTTCTTCTTTCCATGCAGTAGTAGAGTGGAAGAAGGAATAATTTCAAAGCAAAGTGAATGGAGTGTGGGCATTGATATGAGACTTTAGGTAATAGAAGGAAAGCAAAGGGAACAGTAGAATAGCAGGCGTTCATTGAGGAATGGAAGAAAAGAAAGAGAGAGAAGGAGGGAAATATGACACTGAAAGGAAGATATGATATCAAATCGGGACTAAAACAAGAATACAGGTTTTCTCCTAGTTTTGTTAATTACTGCCAAATCTAAGCCTTAATAATCCTGGGATTCTCTTCCAGACCCCCAAGCTGCCTCTTCCCTATACTAAAATGATCAGAATAGGAGCTTGGATATGAAAGATAAAATAGAATGATCTTTATTAAAAACAAAATTGAAGGCATGGCAAGGTGTATTAATTCATTTTTACACTGTTGATAAAGACATAATCAAGACTGGGTAATTTATAAAGAAAAAGAAGTTTAATAGACTCAGTTCCATGTGGCTGGGGGCCCTCACCATCACGGCGGAAGGCAAAAGGCAGGCCTCACATCACAGCAGGCAAGAGAGAGAATGAGAGCCAAGCCAAAAGGGTTTCCCCTTATAAAACCATCAGATCTTGGGAGACTTACTCACTACCAAGAAAACAGTATAAGTGAAACCGGCCCCATGATTCAGTTATTTCCCACCAGGTCCCTCCCACAACACATGGGAATTATGGGCGCTACAGTTCAAGATGAGATTGGGGTGGGGACACAGCCAACCCATATTACAAGGACAGTAGGACATCTAATTAGGACAGATAGCTGTGCTAGAGCCAACAGATAGTTATTTGTTCTGCTTTTAACAGGACCTTCTAATGCCTGGCCGTGTGCTGTGTCATTTCATCCTCACGTGAGCTTTGGCAGTTATAAATGCCTACCTGGTGTTTATTTACTCTTAAGTTTCTGGGTGGTGATCCTGCGCTCCATTCTGGGTCAAAATTATTGAAGCCTATTGTGAGAAATTAATATCCTATGGCAGATCATTTTTTCACTATAAGGAATTAGAAATGACAGTTGTTTCTTATTACTTCTTTCTTCTTAGAAAAGGCACATGGAAATTTGACTACAAAAGGAAAAAAACATACCAAAAGGATTGACAACGCATTTCATCATGTCCTGTCAGTTTCTGAGATTATTCTTCAACTGTTTTCTCCTCCATAAGTGTTGCATAAATAGCTTGAGTTTAAAAATTAATGAAAATGAACAACAAAAGTAGATTGAACAAGGGTTCCTCAGATTAGACTCATTTTCCAAAAACAACCTAAAAACAACTATTGATCTGCTCAAAAAAATTACACCTTTTGTTGTTCAGAAGAGATGAAAGGAAAGAGGTGTTGGAGATTTTCCTTTGACTAAGTGTCCTTTAAGGTATAATTTTGGAAACAGTTTGCTGGAAGATAGTTTTATATATATACATATATATACACACACACACACACACATATATATATAGACACACACATACGTATTTATATATTGGCCTGAGCCATATATACAGACACATATATAGCTATCTATATAGATATATATAAACATATATATGACATAAACACTCTATACACACTATATATGTAGTTATTACTATACATATACATGTCAAAAGCATATACATATCTACTAGTGATTGCTTCTCATAACTAGGGATAGGCACCAAAATAAAAAGGAAACAAAAGAATGGAGAAATATATGAAGAAAAGGGATAGAAAATAGTTCAATTTAGAAATTAAATTGTAAAAGTCCAATGATATCTATTGGCGTTTCCAAATCCAGTGGTTTAGTGCAGTGTGCATTTCAGCCCTTAGAACACATTTCTGTACTGGTGGTTAAAAGGGAGATTTAAATGTCAGATCAACAAAGCCCTGTATTTTAGAAATGATATATTTTCTTATTGTTAACTTAGTTATTTTCTGTGCTCTGAAGTCCTATTACCTTCCTTTGAGAATAAATTTTTGGATTAAATCTTAATGGCTTTTCAGAGAAGATTGATGTGTAGGAACATACAATAGCATGAATTATCTAATGATTTTCCTCATTACTGCAGATGGATGGCTTGCTTCCTTAGTGTCTAGTTGGCTGAGACTAGCTTCCTGAAGAGTTTGAGATGAAATACAAAATAAGTGAAATCATGTACGTTTTAAAAGAAATGTTGAAAAAGTCCCGCGAGTGTGTGTGTGTGTGTGTGTACATGCGTGCATACACCCATTTCCATGTGCTTCCTAATGAATGAGTCCAGCTTTATAAAAGCCTCAGTCTTATCTCTCCTCTCCTCTCCTTTCCTCTCCTCTTCTCTCTCTTCTCTTCTTTCTCTCTTTTCTTTTCTTTGACAGTCCCCCTCTGTCACCCAGACTGGAGTGCAGTGGTGTGATCTCAGCTCACTGCAAGCTCCGCCTCCCGGGTTCACGCCATTCTCCTGCCTCAGCCTCCCAAGTAGCTGGGATTACAGGCACGCACCACCATACCTGACAAATGTTTGTGTATTTAGTAGAGACGGGATTTCGCCATGTTGGCCAGGCCGGTCTCGAACTCCTGACCTCAAGTGATCTGCCTGCCTCGGCCTCCCAAAGTGCTGAAATTACAGGCGTGAGCCATCGAGCCCAGCCCTCAATGTTTTCTAATTAATGAAACAACAACTTGAGGAACAATTAGGCAGAGAAACACAGATCAGTAAAAATGTTTCCCTCCTAGCACACATTACTAAGAGTAAACTTTGTGCCCATTTCTTTGTTCAGTTTTTCTTTGTTTGCTGGACTAGAATTAAATGCCATGGGGAGTCCTTGTTCTACTCCCTGCTGTGTCTCTAGTACCTGAAAGCCTGCCAAGCACACAAGAGAGGAGCAGAAATTCACAAATACATGAAAACATATTTTCATCAAAGCAATGAAGAAAATCTGGAAGTTAGTATAGTCTTTATTTTATTGTTTTTGCCTAAGATTTTTGTACTATTTAATTGACTTTGGTGTTTAGAACAGTTTAGGTTTACAGCAAAATTTAGAGGAAGGATAAATATTTCCCACATATCACCTGACTCCACATATGAATAGCCTTTGCTGTTAACAGTATCTCCATAAGAGATGGAGTTGGATAAGTGCATAAGTGTATAATGACACGTATCCACCATTATAGTATCATACAGAGTAGTTTCACTGCCCTAAAAATCCTGTGTGAGACCTACTTCTTCATCCGCCACCTCCACCTTGACCCCTGGCAACTAGTGATCTTTTGTTTTCTTTTGGTTTTGTTTGTTTGTTTGTTTGTGAGGGAGTCTCAACTCAACCCAGGCTGGACTGCAGTGTTGTGATCTTGGCTCACTGCAACCTCCTCCTCCTGGGTTCAAGCGATTCTCCCACTTCAGCCTCCCGAGTAGCTGGGATTACAGGCACCTGCCAACATGCCCGGCTAATTTTTTGTATTTTTGTAGAGATCGGGTTTCACTATGTTGGCCAGACTGGTCTTGAACTCCTGACCTCAGGTGACCTTCCCGCCTTGGCCTCCCAAAGTGCTGGGATTACAGGTGTTAGTCACCACACCTGGCCAGTCTTTTTATTTTCTCTCTAGTTTTGCCTTTTCCAGAATGTCACATAGTTGAAATGATGCAATAAGTAATCTTTTAAGATTGGCTTCTTTCAATCAATCGCATGCAGTTAAGGTTGATGCCATGTCTTTTCATGGTTTGATAGCTCATTTATTTTTAGTGCTGAACAATGTTCCATTGTTTGGATATCCCACAGTTTGTTTTTTATTCACCTACTAAAGGACATCTTGGTTGCTTGCAAGTTTTGGCAATGATGAATAAAGCTTCTATTAATATCCTGTTGGATTTTTTGTGCACATAGCTTTTTAACTTCTTTGGGTAAATTCTAAGGATCAAGATTGAGAGAGCATATGGTATGAGAATGTTTAGTTTGGGATTTTTATGTTTTTTTTTAACACAGCAAAACCTATTCTATTCTGACGTATATAGTACTTTTCTTTAATATTGTGATTATTTTGGCCTATCAGCCTATGATCCTTAGAGCTATAGCTATTCTATCTGGTATTATATATTGCGGAAAGCCCATCTAAATAGAAGGAAAGGAACGCATCCCAGGGGAAAGAGCCAAAACCACCTCTGCTACACTGTTGTTAACTCCTTTAGGCAACTACCCTGGTTAGGATTATGCCTTTAAACCCTCAAGGCAAAGAGATAATGGCTGGAGAGAGTCTCACATTTTTTGGTTGTAAAGACCAACTTAGTTTGTTTGGAGAGGAATGTAGGGAGCGAATGTCCATGGGCAGCAGGTCGATTTCCATCTGTTCTCATCAAATCTTCATATTCCCAGGGCTTTTGTGAAGCTTTGCTGTTACACTGAGGGCTCCAGTATCGGCGATTTGGGTCATCCCTATTGCTTTGCTAAATGAATGGTAAGGCAAGAATAAAATGTTCTATTACAGTAAAGGAGGCATTTGTAAGCTGTCTAAACCTTGGCCTTTAATGAAACATTTTTAAAACATTTTGAGGAAATCAGTTGCATGTCTCATACCTGGACTTTACACAAGGATATATATATATATATACATTTTGTATGCTACACAAGATAATATATGCAAAGTTGTTATTATCTAAATGTCTTCTTGTAATTTACTATGAGACATCATAGTAAAAGACCATGGTTACTAAAAGGGACACTGTGGGGAAAAAAAAAATGGGGTATTTTGTGGAATTTGTGACAATCATGTTTTGTAGGAATTGATCTACCACAGTCTGTTACGTTCTTAAAGCTGTTTTTTATAGATACTCAGTTGTGGCAAACTTGTTGTTACAGGACTTTTCCTTAGTTCAGCTAAAGACAGGGTTCTTTCTCCCACGGTCACGAAACTTCAGGCTCACGGACCATTTGAATGGTGAGTAAGACACGGTTTTATTGGGTGAAAAGGAAGAAAAGGGGGAAACAGGGACTCTCATTAAGCCAGAGTACCTGTCAGAGAGCTTCCCGCCCGCCATTAGAATCCCAGGTTCCACACAGGAAGAGGAGGAGCCAGGCTTCTCCTCACTGCAAACGCAAACGTGTGAACTTCCTGAGGCTCCACCCCAGTGGGCAGGCTGGTTGGAGTTTCTCCAGGGATCTCCTCCCACCTTGCTGTCTCATTGTCAGTGGACATTTCTGAGAACAAACATAGTTTGAAAGATATAATTTATATTTGTTCCATCATGGTAGTCAACATCATACCAGAATCATGCCTTCTAGAGCTTTAAAAACTTAATAAACAACAGTAAAATGAGTTCACAACCCAGAGAGTTGACATAAAACACTGTACCCATTCCTACGTAGTGTATTTTATATTGTACTGTATTATATTGTAGGCCACAATTATAGAGTGTGAATACACTAGTTCATTTTTTCTTAGAATATTTACATGAGAAATGTCCTCAGTGCCGACATAAATTCGGTGTTAATTTTACATGTGGTAGATTGATTGCATTAACGGCCACAATTCTTTACCCTCCCTATATTCCTTCCTTCTGTCATATATTTTTGTAGTGCATTCCCAAACTGACTCTGCACCCAGGCTGGAACTAGCCTTAGTCAATGAAACATCAGCAAACATGATTGAAGTAGAGGTTTGAAGATAGTCTGCATGATTGGTCTTTCTCGCTCTTGCATAGCTGCCAGCTGTTATTGAATAGATAACCGATGCAGTTAGTAAAGGATATTTAGCATTTGGTATTTGAGAATACCAAGTAAGGATGATTTTTTGAGGAAGAAAGAGTAACTATTAAATGGAGAAAACAACACATCACCTAGTGATTAAAATTAATGTCATCAATAAGGACAAATTAACATCATATATTTCTGGATATGATACTCAGGGAATACATAATGCATTATATTTATCTTAAAGAGAAAACACAATTGAGGAGATATTTCATGAATGTTTTTAGCTGAGATTTTGGAAGTGCTGAAGGTGCAAGTCAAAGATGATGGGTATAATTTTTTTAGAAATTTGCCTGTGTTGAGCTATGATTGCATTTAGTACGTTCTACTATACATAACTTGTATTTGACACTTGTTCCTCAATGACAGTGTGTTCTCCATAAAGGAAGAACATCTTAGAATCTTCTCACTCCCACCACCTCATCAAGTGCCTCCTACAGTACTTAGAACCTAGTCCACTTAGTAAATGCTTATTAAGTAAGCAGATGAATGAGTTAGTGTCAAGAGCAGTTATGTAATGGGCCCAAGGTCACTTAATCGGTAAATGGTGGTCTGTGTTAAACACTCTACTTCAGTGCCTCCCTCAACAAACTGATTTGCGGTTCATCATTTTAAGTATTATGACAGTAACTGAAGGGTGAGCAAGTATGCATGAAGCAAATCTTTAGGAGGATTGACAGTAAATATCTGTCAGTGTATCTCTAGATGACTAGGTGAAGGTTTTGATGAACAGATACAGGACTTCAGTATAACTATCCCGACCTGAATATGCATGCATGATGAGACTGTCCATTCAGAATATTCGATGCTATCAAGCAATTAATGGTTATTTGATATCTTAAAAGGATGTATTTGCTAACTGAGAGAATGAGAAACAAACGGTTAACCAGTTGCATGGAAGTTGTATTTCTCATGGTAATTTAGGGAATTTTATACATGTTTTGTTGTTTATGAGTTTTATTAATATGTATGCATCCTCTAAGCATCTTTAGGTTAGTTTAATGGAATTCCTAGCACTAAAAGTCTGAAAATATCATTTCCACAATAGTAAGATGTCTGGTGTGAACTTATATGAGGAAGCCCGCTAATGTTACCCTGTATTTCACATTATCTGTCACAAGTTATGAGTGCCATTCCGTTCTTTCCATCAGTAGTAATTGTGAGAGAACCAATGCTCTTTCAAGGGTTCAAAATAAAATTTTCCATTTTTTACCATCTTCACTGAACTAAAATAGAATGGGTTTTTAATAGAGCAATAATTAAACAGAACAAACTGGAAAACTGGCTTATGGTAGCATACCCAACTGATATTGTTGTCCATCAAGGACCCCATCGTCATGTTTCCTTTTGTTAATATGTGTGTGTATGTAGAATTTCTACCTTGAACCAGAGTGTTGTGTGCCTCAAACATTATACTTTTTTTTTTTTTTTTTTGACGGAGTCTCACTCTGTCACCCAGGCTGGAGTGCAGTGGCGCAAACTTGGCTCACTGCAACCCCAGGTTCAAGCAATTCTTCTGCCTCAGCTTCCTGAGTAGCTGGGACTACAGGCACGTGCCACCACGCCAGCTAATTTTTGTATTTTTAGTAGAGACAGGGTTTTACCGTATTGGTCAGGCTGGTCTTGAACTCCTGACCTCGTGATCTACCCGCCTCGGCCACCCAAAGTGCTGGGATTACAGGTGTGAGCCACCGCACCAGGCCATTGTACCTCTTAAAAAGAAAATATTTATAGAAGAACCAAATGAACTAATTAACATTCTCCAGGTTATTGTGACTTAGGAATTAAAGATAAAATATTCAGTACTCTGAGAAAAAAAAAAAAAACTTACTAGAGTTCAATTGCTTTCTCCTCAATAAATGTGCAAATACAAATGTGTTGTTGTTTTTTCTCATTAGGTAAAACATTTGCCTAGAATACCTTAAAAGTTGCATTAATTGCTTTGGACTCTCAACAATCCAAAAGGAAGCAAACAATGGGTTTACTAAAGTCCTCACATTTAATATAGTGCTTGGGGGAAAATAATCGGTGCCATTTTAAACACAGAAGCACACTTCTCTGTTGCACTAGTTTGTATTTCTCTGGGGTAGGATCTGCAACTAATTCTTCTCCCTCTCCCCCGGCCGGTAGCTTGCACTGTGCTTTCCTTAAGAAAGTTATTAAATCAACATCTCTCAACAGATTGTTTGGCATGACTGCAGGAAGGTCTCATTCATCACTGTGGTCTGTATTACATAAGACATCTGGAGTTGATGATACTTATTCACACTCCCATAACTTCACAGCTAGCTTGAACCACATCATGAATTAATAAAGGATCCTGAGTCTCCTAGAGCAATAGATATTCAAGGCTTTCTAATTAGAATAATATTTATAAAGTTCCCACGCGAGTACGTGCAATAGGCATAAAACAGAATGTATTGAGGCAATTCTTAGTCCTTGGGGAGTAACATTTTAGCACAACATGCTTTAACTTACCAAAGGACAACAATACAACCAAGACAATTCTGTAAATTGTGATTGAAAAATACCTTTCTGTTGCCAAAGTTACAAATTCACTTTCCAACCTTTTTAAAAGAATGGCATGGATCAGCTTTAAGCCTGCTCTATGATCTTTGCATCTTGTAGCTCCACTTGAATTAATATTCCAGCAGTGGGAGTAGTGGATTCACAGGAAGGAAAAGCAGAAATGATTTCATTGCCACTAAATGGGTGACCTCAGAAACTGAAATGAGTCACCCACCTATGGCAGTCCCTGAGTGGCTGTGACATCCAAGTTGTGTAATCGTCCAGTGGGATCTTCCTGCCCACTGCAAAGACAAAACCAGTTCACTGAGACCATGGCACTGCAGTGAAGAAAGAGTATAATTGAGGCAAGGCCAGCAATACCACTTGGGAGACAGTTATTTACTTGAATCAATTTCTCACAGAAGGCTCAGGAGGTTAGGGTTTCTCAAGGATATTTTGGTGGTCAAGGCTAGGGAATGGGGAATGTTGTGTGGCTGGGAATGAAATCATAGAGGTGTGGAAAACAGTCCACACTGGCTGACTCAGCCTCCGGGTGGGAGCCACAGGAATGATTGAATCATGAATCCTTGGCCTGGGTAGAGTCAGCTGGTCATCAGAAATGCAAAAAGTCTGAAAAGACCTCTCAAAAGGCCAATGTATATTCTACAATAGTGACGTTATCTACAGGAGTAACTGGGGAAGTTACACATCTTGTGACTTCCAGAACAATGGCTGGTTATCATTTAACTACACCTACATCTTAGAAGAATTCAGGCCCCTCTCCTAATATTAACCTTGCGGACTTTTATTAGTTTTACAAAACTGATTTAGCTTTGGGAAGGGCTATCATCATCCTTGCTTTAAGGTTAAACTATAAACTAAATTACTCCCAAAGTCAGCTTGGTCCATGTCCAGGAATAACCATGAACAGCTTGGGAGTAAGAAGCAACATGGAGTCAACTATGTCAGATTTTTCTCACTGTCATAATTTTGCAAAGGTGGTTTCAGTTGAGGGAGATAGGAACCATCATCTTCCTTCAAAGAGCTTTACTGGCTACTGGTTCCAGATCCTAAAATCTGCTCCGTGGAACAGTTGCGTTGTTGTAATTGCTGTTTTTATTAACACAAGTGTAACTGGCTATGTCAAACTACACTTGGCATTTAATAAAGTTAATGGATGTCAATAAAATTGGCATTAAATGAATATCATTTCATATTCAACACTATGTGTCTTATGAAAGCTAGAGTTCTCTTTTTTTTTTTTTTTTTTTTAATTTTGAGATAGAGTCTTGCTCTGTCACCCAGGCTGGAGTGCAGTGGCTCATTCTCGGCTCACTGCAACCTCCCTCTCCCGGGTTCAAGCGATTCTTGTGCCTCAGCATCCCAAGTGGCTGGGATTACAGGTGCGTGCCATCATGCCTGGCTACTTTTTGTATTTTTAGTAGAGATGTGGTTTCACCATGTTGGCCAGCCTGGTATCAAACTCCTAACCTAAAGTTATCCACCCACCTCGGCCTCCCAAAGTCCTGGGATTACAGGTGTGAGCCACCGTGCCTGGCTTAGAGTTATTTCTAAGTGATAGAGACCAAGGCTATGATTAGATGTTTCAGGGTATTGAGAAGAGTATACAACCTAGAGTTATTTCTAAGTTGTATACTCTTCTCAATACCCTGAAACATCTTCTAATCATAGCCTTGATCTCTATCACAGACTACATGAAGCATCTGGCTGTTGTGTTTGGATTTGACTTGCTTCTTCTTTCCTGAGCCACATTAAAAAATAACTATCAGATATTTTTCTTTCTTTTCCAAAACTAGGCTCTTCGCTCTTTCTAGTCTCTTGCCTAATTTATGCTTTTAGGGTTTACAAATTTCTTATTTGTGTACCTCACTCCATCCTCTTTCTTCTGTCTGAAATGCTTTTTCACGCTTTATTTTCTCTTCCCTTTTGTTAGACTCCTGCCCATTTAGTGAGATGTTCCACCACTGTTAGCAAAGATACCTGTCTCTTCCTCTTTCTTCACCCCAATGCCCAAGGAGTGACACTCTCTAAAAGATAGTGACACTTCTCTCCTTCCTCAAGATTCCCCAGGGCATTACAAATATCCTTAATCAAACTTACCACAATCTGCCTTCTACCAGAGCCCTGTTTGTCCTTGTCCAAATTTTTTTTTTATTTTTATTTTTTGAGATGGAATCTCGCTCTGTCGCCCAGGCTGGAGTGCAGTGGCGCGATCTCGGCTCACTGCAAGCTCTGCCTCCCGGGTTCACGCCGTTCTCCTGCCTCAGCCTCCCGAGTAGCTGGGATTACAGGCGCCCACCACCACGCCTGGCTAATTTTTTGTATTTTTAGTAGAGATGGGGTTTCACCGTGTTAGCCAGGGTGGTCTCGATCTCCTGACCTCGTGATCTGCCTGCCTCGGCCTCCCAAAGTGCTGGGATTACAGGCGTGAGCCACTGCGCCTGGCCTTGTCCAAATTTTTTTAACCTTCATATGGAAAGGTTATTGATTATAAATTCTCTTGAGGAATGTACTGTGCTACACACATTATCAAAATAGAAATTATTAACTTGAATTGTTCTTTCCAACTTGGATTTGGACACATTATATATAACCTATGAAGCCACTCAAAAGCATAAACCTTAATGTAATATTGTTTGAAGTATTACAGTTTGGAAGAGGACAGGCTCTGGACTCAGATACACTTTTGGTTTGAATTCAACTTGGTTTTTTTGATTGCTCTGTGATCTTTGGCAAGTTATTTAACCATTATAAACCTAATTTACTTCATTGGTAAAATAACAGTAATAATATTATACTCAACACTAAGCTGTCTTGAGGATTAAATGGAATAATATATGTAAAGTATTATTACTACCACTAGATGAAGTTATTAGTTACTAGATAGTTGGTATTCATTATCATTTGACTGATTAACACTTCAAATATTTCTCAAAAATTCTACAAGGTGAATGACGTGTTTCTCACCTTTCATATTTTAATCAATATGTATGGCATTAGCTTGGGTAATAATAAAGAGAGAAAAGCTTATTGCTCACTGTTACAGGCTTACACTGTGAAAGTGAAAACTTGAAAGTGATAACTGAGAGGTAAACAAATTAGAAAAAAGAAAAAATGAGGCTGCAGGTTGAAATGTGCATCCTGTTCCCACTTTGATAAGCGTGGTGGAATTTTAAAATGTTGTAATATAACTCACAGATATCTACTTATTCAATCTGCACACACCGTGCTAGGAACTGTGGGGTTGCAAAAGTAAGACATCACATCTGCTCTTCAAGACTAGACAGGTCCTGTGTAATTTGCTGCCTTCCAGTGTTCAAGATCTTTACTTATATAAATTAGAGCATTACAAGGAGGTAAGCAGACAATAAAGGTGAATAGAACAAAGAGCTAGAACTGGCAAATTTAAATAGAAGTGAGTTTTTGCTAAGTTTATGTATCACATACATTTTAGTGAGATAGGGCTGAGGAGGGAGGAACTAAATTGTTTCTGAAACAAGACCATTTGTAAGAGTATCTGAATGGAAACCACAGATGAAATTACCCAGAAACACACCAAGCAACTTGCTTCTATTTACAGCTAGAAACAATGGTGTTCACAATTCTATCTCTCGGAACATTTGTTGAATTATACAAATGAGACAGCTGTAGTGCACTGGCCTATAAGACAATGGGTACAGAGAAGGCAGCCAGGGTTAGAAACAATCAATGCAATTAAAGGGAGGTCAAAGATTTGTGTCAAAAAAGAACAGGGAACAACAAGAATTTGCCTAAAAATAGTGAGAACCTCCTATTAGTAGCTATATATAATGCAGCAGATTATATTCATGTCTACTATATAATGCAGCAGATTACATCCTGTAATCAAAGTCATAGGAAAATTCATAACTGGGAATGACTTGAGTAATAGCAGATAGAAACATCTGAGAAAATATGAAAGGAATGGAAATATAAATAGTGAGGGAACCAGAGATGTATTGCAATACTGCTTTAAGGGACTATGGTAGATTCTTGTCTATTTAACACCTGCTCCCAAATCATACTGAGTTCACCCCAGTCCTTTACGCATCCTGACTCTAATAGTGCTTCTCAGCGTTATTCCTTTTTGTATTGCCTGATTCCATACATTTCCAGGAAAAGTTAATAGGTTATTCTTTAGCTAAAACAAAAAGCATTCAAATTGTAGTGTTCAGTTGGTTTAAAACCAAATAAGCATGCAAATCCAAAGGCTTAGCTTACAACTAATCATTTTGAATATGATCATGAATACAATACTGTTAGACGTCTACCAGAATATTCAGTTTGTGATGTTGTATGTGGACATAAAAAGCAGTAACCCCCATACATTATATGTTCTAATGCCAGTGAATAATTCAATGTAGTACTCAATAATCTTTCATGAATCAATCATAAATGCTGAGAAAGAAAGAAATGAAAAAAATCTGAGTTATTTGTATTTGTAGGACTCTTTTTTCTTTTATTATCAACCAGTGGACAAAAAGTTTAGGGGAGTTTTTTTTTTACAAATTTCATAAAGCAAAAATTTAGCATTATTTTTATTGAATTATGCAGTAGCACGGATTTAGAATGATAGCACTGAGGTCTGACTAATCTTAAGCAACTTGCTTAATCCCTTTAAAGTATAACATTTATATGTGAAATGGAGATACATTTGCATAATGTAGGTTGCAGCTTTGTTATGAGAATAGAATAAGCTCATGTTGTAAAAATGTTAACAAATCAGAGAGTACACCATAAGAAGATGTGAAGAAAAGATACAAAATTTTTTGGAGTCGTTCCTACAGCAAATATTTATTGAGAACTGTTCTGTGTTGCATAATAGTCTTAGACTTGATAGATAAACTAATGAACAAAATAGATGAAAATCTCTACACTCAAAGATCTTAGGTTCTGGAGGATGAAAGTAACAATAAACAAGTAAGTAAAACACATAGCATGTCAGACGGTATTAGCCTCTATTTTTAAAACAGGGAAAGGGGATAACAAACACTGAGGTTAGGGAGGTTTGCACATTTAAAGTGGGTGAAAGAAAGAGGGTGAAATGATATTTCACCACAGATGGAAAAAGATAAAGAATAAGTCATGCTGATATCTGATGGGAGAAAATCCCAGGCAAAGGAAACAGAAAATGCAAATGCCTTGACTTGGGAATGAGCCTCCTGTGTTCAGTGAGAGCAGGAAGACAGTGTTGCTGCAGCAGAACCACTGGGGAACTCATGTTGGCTTCATAAGTCCTTGGAAGCTCCTGTAAAGATTTGCATTTTCCTTCCCTGAGATGAATGCCAGCAGAGGATATCTAGGCCGAGGAGAGACATGATCTTTTTTTATATTTTAAAGGATCTCTCTGACAGTTGTGTTGATAAACTGAAATGAGACAAAGGTGGAAATAAGAAGATCACTTAAGATTTATTGCAAAAACCAAGAGGAGGGATGGTGGTGGCTTAGATCAGGATGGCTACATTCAAGGTGGTGAAAAGTGATTTAGACTCCAGATATACTTCTTTTTTTTTTTGACAGATTCTCTCTCTGTCACCAGGCTGGAGTGCAGTGGTGCAATCGTGGCTCACTGCAATCTCTGCCTCCCAGGTTCAAGTGATTCTCCTGCCTCAGCCTCCTGAGTAGCTGGGATTACAGGCGTGTGCCACCACGCCCAGCTAATTTTTGTATTTGTTAGTTTCACCACGTTGGTCAGGCTGGTCTTGATCCCCTGACCTTGTGATCCACCCCCCTTGACCTCCCAAACTGCTGGGATTACAGGCGTGAGCCACCGCGTCTGGCCTCCAGATACACTTTAAAAATAGGATCAAGAGGATATCCTGGTGGACTGCATGTGACCTTTGAAGAAAAGGTAAGAATCATAGATAGCACCAATGGATGGAGCAACAAGAAGATTGAGTAGTCATTTACTGAAAAGGGTGAAACTGAAAGGATTAGGCTTAAGAATTTGGATTTGAATATATAAATTGGAAAGGGCTGAAAAGATATGTAGGAGGAAACATTGACTGCACAATTAGAATTATTTGCTGGGAGTTCCGGGAAAGCGCCAGGCTAGAGCTGTATACTTGGGAGCCACCAGTTTAGAAAAAGCATTTTATAAAGCAATTAGATTGGATGTGGTCACCATGAGAGTGAGCATGGATAAAGGAAAACAATCAGAAATTCATGGACTCAACACTATGGTACTTGAGCATTTAGAAGAGATGAGGAGAAACCTGCAAAACCAGATCAGTAGGAGAAAAATAGAAGACTGTGATGTCCTGGAAGCCGAGTGAAAAAGAGTCTTTCAAGGGGGCCTGAGAGGTACTAGTTACATGCATCATGACGAGAAATCAAGTCACAAAGAGAAAAATTAATTATTGGATTTAGCAACATAGGTGTTAGGGTGATGATGAAAAGAACAGTTTGACAGAAAGAGAAAGAGGAAAATTAACTGGAATGCAATCGAGAAAGGAGACGAGTTAGAATAGTGAAATGCCATAACACTAACTCTTTCATGGAGTTTTGTTGCAGGGATTGGGGCAAAACAGATAGGACAAAGGCTGGAGGAAATGGAGTTTGTGTTTGCTTATCTGTTTTTGAGATGAAAGATGCTGCAGTATGCTTTTAGGTTGTTTGCAATTATCCAGCGGAGAAGGAAAATTCAATGAAACAAGGATGAGTTGCTGAAGAAATGGTCTTGCTCAGGGAACACATTAAGCTTAAAAGTGCAAAGATCAACCCTACATAGGGATAAAGACCATTACCACAGCATTAAGAGGACTGGCATAAGATACAGATGGTCAGATGACAGAGCACGAGGAAATGCTCCTCTGGTGCACTTTTGTCGGTGAAGTAAGAATCACAGCCACAAATTTCCATAGCTCTTGCTATGGTTTAGGCACAGTTCTAAGGGCTGTATTTTTAATAGTCTTTAATGCTCTTAACAATCACGTGAGGCATTGTTATTATCCTCAGTTTACAGAGGAGAAAACTGAGACATAGAGAGGTTAAATGACTTGCTTAAAGTCACACTGCTAGTCAGGGACAACCATTAGGTGAGAGAAAGGTGAAGAGAAGAGAAAGTATGAGAGGACTGCAGGGCCTACTGAGGCCCTCTGTGAGGTTAGTGTTCCTGAAATTAAAGGAGTGGGCCCGGCGCAGTGACTCATGCCTGTAATCCCAGCACTTTGGGAGGCCGAGGCAGGTGAATCACCTGAGGTCAGGAGTTTGAGACCAGCCTGACCAACATGATGAAACTCCGTCTCTACTAAAAATATAAAAAAATAGCCAGGCCTGGTGGCGGGTGCCTGTAATCCCAGGCACTCGGGAGACTGAGGCAGGAGAATCGCTTGAACCCGGGAGGTGGAGGTTGCAGTGAGCCAAGATCGTGCCATTGTACTCCAGCCTGGGCAACAAGAGAGAAACTCCGTCTCAAATAATAATAATAATAATAATAATAATAATTAATTAATTAAAGGAGTGGGTATAACATACTGTGAGGTAGAGAACATTGAGTTCAATCATGGACCGAATGTGTGCTTAATGTTTCATTCTCTCTGGTATAAATATTAATTTCCCTTTCTTCATTTGTAAAAATATTAAAGATTAAAAATAACAACATATGCTAACAGAGTTGGCAGTCTAAAAATATAATCTTTCCTCTGATTTTTATTATTGGTAGCAATGTTTCTTTCCATCATTTCAACTCAGACTACCTTTCCCTTGCCAGTTATATCTTTCGACTGTTCATTGGCTGACAGCCAGCAATTTTGCTTGATTTCTAAAGTTCAACTTTTTTCTTTAGACATATGTTTCAAGAGTGGCACTTAACTTTTGTGGCCTCTCCACAAATCAATGAGTAAGAACTTTTCACTCTTGATATGGTTTGGATCTGTGTCCCCACTCAAATCTCCTGAGGAATGGTAATCCCCAATGTTGGAGGTGGGGCCTGGTGGGAGGTGATTGGATCTTGGGGACGGAGCTCCCCCTTGGTGCTGTTCTGTGTGATAGTGAGTGAGTCTTGGGAGATCTGGTCGTTTAAAAAAGTGTGCGGCATCTCCTCCCACCCTCTTCCCCCTGCTCCGGCTGTGTGAGGTGCCAGCTCCCCCTTCGCCTTTTGCCATGATTATAAGTTTCCTGAGGCCTCCCCAGAAGCCCAGCATATGCCAGCATTACGATTCCTGTATGGCCTGCAGAACTATGAGCCAATTAAACCTCTTTTCTTTATAAATTAATTACCCAGTCTCAAATATTTCTTTCTAGCAGTGCAAGAACTGACTAAAACAACTCTCTTCTTTAATTTCACAACAGTTCAGTTCTCAGGCCTTCAGAGGATCGGCAGCCACATAACTGAAGCTGGAGTTAACTTGAAACCTGTGGAGGGGGCTGGCTTGCAACAAAATTGTTAAGGAGTTTTGACTCCTAGTTCCCACACTTCATAGAAACATTATGCATGAATTATATCCCTCCGGCAAGTAGGATTTGGCTGTCTGCCTCTCCACCTCGTAAGAGGAGCTTTTGCTTAGAGCTGGCTTATTTGCACCCTGGTTGAGTTTTCGAGCCCTATTGAGAAGTGTACACAGTTACTATACTCATGTTGGGTTTGGAAACAGTGCAGCAATGCTAGATTCATTAGTATCTGGGAGTACAGAGCCAGGAGCCAAGTGTGTCATAATAATGATAACAGAAAAAAAAAATCCAACTGTAAATTAACATTTTGGCAACTCTAAAAGTAATGCTGGAAAAAGAATATTTGTATTATAACTGAAAAATAAAGTAGAGATGAGTAAAAGCAAAAGCATAAAATCTTAAACTGTGACTGATCTGAATTGGGAATAGCTTGCTTACTCAATTTTACATTTCACCCTTCTTCATAGAGTTGAAGATCAGTTTATCGAATTACTTGTGGGACTATAGAGCTATTTATAGTCATCCATTGATTCAAATGAATCAAATATTCATTTGGCAGTAAAGTTATCTAGATTTCGTTATATTCATCTCAATTCAAAACTCACCCTTCATTATTTATTCTTCCATATATACTTTCTGATCACCCAACTACTGATTTTGAAGACATATGTTATGTGCAACACTGTTGAAGATTTAAAGACATGTATGCATTACTTAATTCCCTGTGTTGTATTAGAAATAACAGTAACACAATCTTCACAAGTAGATAATATTTTTAAACTTGTTTCCTACCAAATAGCATGGTAGTCAAGAGCAGGAACTGTGAGGGAAAACGTCTGATTCTGAAATCCAGCTGTGACACTCACACACTCTATTACCTCCAGTGACTGACTTGTGCCTCAGTTTCCTGAGCTGAAAAATGGGAAATACAATAGCTCCTACTTCAAAGAAGTATTAAGGACGGAATGAAGTAATATACATGAAGTACTTACAACACTGCATACCTGTGATGTCTAATAATTGAGTGTCAACATGATTGGATTGAAGGATGCAAAGTATTGTTCCTGGGTGTGTCTGTGAGGGTGCTGGCAAAGGAGATTAACATTTGAGTCAGTGGACTGGGAGAGGCAGACCCACCCTCAGTGCGGGTGAGCACCAGCTAATAAGCTGCCATCGCGGCTAGAATAGAGCAGGCAGAAATTGGAAGGATTTGACTTGCTGAATCTTCCAGCCTTCATCTTTCTCCCGTGCTGGATGCTTCCTGCCCTCGAACATCAGACTCCAAATTCAGCCTTGGGACTCTTGGACTTACACCAGTAGATTTGCCAGGGACTCTCGGGACAGACTGAAGGATGCACTGTCAGCTTCCCTACGTTTAAGGTTTTGGGACTCGGACTGGCTTCCTTGCTCCTCAGCTTGCAGACGGCCTTTCATGGGACTTCACCTTGTGATCGTGTGAGTCAATTCTCCTAATAAACTCCCCTTCATATATACATCTCTCATATCAGTTCTATCCCTCTAGAGAACACTGACTAATACACTGCTCATAATAAGTACTTAATAAGAATTAGCTGTTGTTTTTATAATTATTACTATGGCTTGGTTATTACTATCTCATTATGCATCCTTGATGCCTACCACCTTCTCTTGTGTTTGATGACCCTGAATCAAATGTGAGAGAGAACCCTAGTGGTGGAAAGGTGCCAGCGTCATCCAGATCACACAGAACCACTGGTGTAACAGAGCGCCTCGTCTTGTGTTGGAGGCGTACATCAGGATTTATAGACAAACTGTGTCTCTTTGGGGAAAATCATCAACTGATGCAGTACCAAGTGTGTGTCTTGGGGGTATCCTTTCCTGGGTTGAACCCCCTCTTCTTCACAATATCCTATGGAAAAAGTGTGTCAGAGGGAGAGTGCAGATAGAGGAGACTAAAAGACATTAAAGAGATTGTCAAAAGTCAGAGGATAAACTCTTTTTCAACAAAAACGCCATTTTGTGGTGCTTATGTCAAAATATAGAATCATTATCAATAATATTGTTTTATGAAAAGCAGTATTTTGATTTTTTTTTTTTTTTTTTTTTTGAGAGAGTTTCATTCTTGTTGCCCAGGCTGGAGTGCAATGGTGTCATCTCGGCTCACCGCAACCTCTGCTTCCCAGGTTCAATAAATTCTTCTGCCTCAGCCTCCCAAGTAGCTGGGATTTCAGGCATGTGCCACCACGCTCGGCTAATTTTCTGTACTTTTAATAGAGACGGGGTTTCTCCATGTTGGTCAGGCTGGTCTTGAACTCCTGATCTCAAGTGATCCGCCCGCCGCAGCCTCCCAAAGTGCTGGGATTACAGGTGTGAGCCACTGCGCCTGGCGTGATTCTTTCCTTGAAAAATATAGCATGACTATAGAAAAGTGAATTAAACATATTTGTGTTTTTACATATCTGTATATTTTAACTAATAAAATGACCAAGCATGTCATTGCCAGTCAGGTGAGGAAATAGAACACCGCCAGCGCCCCAGGAGCACACTCATTGCGAGCCCTGCCCAGGCACAAGGGACGTCGCTGCCCTCTAAGAGCACCATTATCTTCACGCTGCTGATGATCATGTCTTATTTTTTCTACATGGCTTCACCAATTAGATATGCATTCTGAATATGGATTTGTTTTGCCTCATTTTGAACTTTATATGAATGACTCATACAATGTGTTTTCCTTTGTATCTTGATTTTCTTGTTTAACATTATGTTTCTGTTTCTTTCCAAGTTGGTGGATTGATTTTTTTTTTTTTTTTTTTTTGTATTTTTAGGGAAGGGAGGTACAAGCCTGAAATGAAATGTATTCTACATCCAGTATACTGGCACATATATGTGAGATTTTCTCTATACATGTAGGGATGAATTTATTTTTTCATATTTTTCCATATTTGACTTTATTAGATAATGTCAGATAGTTTCTTGATGTAATTTTACCAAATACAGCAACAGTGGATAGTTTCACTCGTCCACGTCTTCAAGAGCATGATGTGTTTTAGACTTTGTACATATACATGGTCTGTTGAGATATTTATGGTATTTGGGGGGGTTAATTAACATTTGTTAATTACATGTTACCAAGCATTCTTTGGACTGCCTTTTTGGTGAAATTCCCAAGCAATTATTTGGCTCAATATTTCTGTTATGCTTCCTGACTTTTCTTCATTAATTGATTTAAATTAAACCAATAATTTGATTTGTAGGAGTTCTCTGTAGGATCTGGAAACTAGGTCAGTTATATGTTGCAGATATCATCCTGTGCCCAGTAGTTCATCTTTGTGCTCTATTCATCCTGTCTTTTGATGAAGAGAAGTTCTTGAGTACAATGTAGTTGAATTCATTACTCTGTTACTTTATGGTTCATTCTCTTTGTGCCTTGCATTAAGAAATCCACAATGTCATGAAGCATTTTTCAATATTAGATTTATAATTTGGGTTTTAACATTTTTCCTCATTGTTCTTTTTTTTTTTTGAGACGGAGTCCCGCTCTGTCGCCCAGGCTGGAGTGCAGTGGCACGATCTCGGCTCACTGCAAGCTCCGCCTCCCGGGTTCACGCCATTCTCCTGCCTCAGCCTCCCGAGTAGCTGGGACTACAGGCGTCCGCCACCATGCCCGGCTAATTTTTTGTATTTTTAGTAGAGACGGGGTTTCACCGTGTTAGTCAGGATGGTCTCGATCTCCTGACCTCGTGATCCGCCCGCCTCAGCCTCCCAAAGTGCTGGGATTACAGGCATGAGCCACCGTGCCCGGCCCTCATTGTTCTTTAAAATTTTATGATGAACAATTTCCAATATAGAGCAAAGTTGAAGTCAGTGAGCACCTGTATAGCTTCCATCTTTATTCTATCTTCCCATATTACTATATGCCTATTTACTTTTCTATCAATTTATTAATTATTCTTTTTGATACATTTCAAAGTAAATTGCAGATGTCAGACCTCCCCAGAGATAATCAGCGTGCATCTTATTAACCAGAATCCAATATTTGTTTAGTTTTATCATTAGATGTATATTTACTTAAATGAAATGAACACATCTAATGTGTACATTTATTGAATTTTGAAAAGCATATACACCTCTGAAACCCAAACCTCTATAAAAATATAAAATATTCCATGAACTCAGAAAGTAACCTCATGTTCCTTCTCAGCCAATCCTTCACCCACACTTCCAAAAAAATTACTGCTCTGATATTTTTCACCATAGTTTTGCCTGTTTTACAACTTTACATAAATGAAAATTTTCAGTATGAATATGTACCATTCAGCAAATCTTTTTAAGGATTTTATATTCTTCATTTACATTTTATGTGTATTTGTAGTTTGTTCCTTTATATTGTTAATAGCATTCTGTTGTATGAATATGCCACAGTTTACTATTTCTGACACTATTCATCCTTTTGCATGGATCTAAATTGTATCTGGTATCATTTTCTCACTGCCTAAAGAACTTTCCTTAACATTTCTTGTAGTACAGATCTGCTGGCAAAGGAGTCTCTCACCTTTATTTCACCTTCATGTTTAAAAATTATTCATTCTAGGTATAAAATTCTAGTTTGACAACCTTTACTTTTTTCTGGAACTTCAAATATTCTATTTTTTATTTTTTCTGGGTTGCACTGTTTCTGGTAATAAGTCAGATTATAATTGTTATCTTCACTTTTCTATAAGTAATTAGTCTTTTTTTCTGCCTCAGATATTTTTCTTTATCACATAGTTTAAGCAATAGTTTTTGTGACTTGGTGTGGTTTTCTTTATATTTATTCTTCTTGGGCTTTATTGAGATTTTCTGATCTGTGGGTTTTAGCTTTCGGCAAATTTGCACAATTTGGGCAACTAATTTTTCAAATGATTTTGGCCCCACTTCTTTTACTCTGGAACTCCAATTACAAGCATACTTTCCTTGTCTTCTTACCACACATTTTAATATTCTTCAATTTTATATTCTTCATAATTTCTTGTGACACATCTGTCATTTCTCTTATCAGCACATTCTAGTCAGCTGTTAATCTTTCTACTGAGTATTGAATTTCAGATTGATTGAAATTTTTATTTTCATTTCCAGACATTCTATTTTTTCAAATATGCCTAGTCATCTTATAAAGTTCTATTGCTGCAAATAAACTCAAGTTTATGTTTTTCCCTGTGTGCATAATAAACTAGTTGTTGTGCAATCTCTTACAAGTCCAATAGCCAGAGTCCTTATAAGTCTAGGTTTTCTTTTTATTGCTTCAACAGCTTTTCCTTCTTTGTGCCTCCTCAACTTCTCAATTTGAATTTATGTTTACTTTTTTCTTTATATTGTTCTTTAAGAATATATACGTGGGTATTTACCAATACCTAGGATGATGGATTCTTCTTTTATAGCAGGTTTGAACTTCCTTCTTTCAGGCTGTTGGAGTCAGTACTAGTCTAGACCCAGTTGAAGCAAGTTTACAGGGTGTCAAGTCCATGGACCATGGAGAGGTAGTGTGTGCAAGGGGCGTGAATTCACATTGGAACTGGATCTTTGCCACAACTACTGAGGTTATTTCCCTTTTCCTATTTTACTGTGCTCCTTCAGAATCAAATTATAGTGGCTGTCATTGATGTTCTGATCACATCCCATCAAAACTCATTTCCATTCCTGAAGTGGTTCTTACTCCATGACCCTTGATATTCCTGGGATCATGGAAGAGTGCTGGCATATTTTCCAGGCAGGCTGGTGATGCTCGGGACATGACAGTGGACAGTCCTGAGAACAACTCTCAATTGATGATGAATGAAAGTTGGGGCCGGGTGCTCACGCCTGTAATCCCAGCACTTTGGGAGGCCGAGGCGGGTGGATCACGAGGTCAGGAGATCGAGACCATCCAGGCTAACACTAAACCTGTCCCTACTAAAAATACAAAAAATTAGCCGGGCGTGGTGTCGGGCACCTGTAGTCCCAGCTACTCGGCAGGCTGAGGCAGAAGAATGGCGTGAACCCAGGAGGCAGAGCTTGCAGTGAGCTGAGATTGTGCCACTGCACTCCAGCCTGGGCGACAGAGCGAGACTCCGTCTCAAAAAAAAAAAAAAAAAAAGAAAGTTGGTGAAAAATAGTCAAATGTCCTTGTCCCTCTGAGGCATGTTCTGTGCCATCTCACAGGGCTCTGCAGTGGGATTGAGCTGCAGTTTCCCCGAGCAGTAATCGGTTGCCTAACATAATCTGTTCATCTACTTCCCTTTCTTAGCTTATATCCACATTCTCTGGAATTGTTTCTTGTCATTTGGTTCCCCAGGAAACAAACTCCAAGTCTCTGAGATTTTATATAAAAGAGGCTTATTGAAGGATCTGTGAAGGCAGATTAAGCAGAATTGAGCAGAGAGAAAAACTAAACCACAATGCAGTTTCAGCAGAGGCCTCAAATGACCCCACAGGGAGCTTCAGAATAGGAATGACCTTCAGAGATTTCTCACCTTCAGACAAGGAGGCCAGGCCTGTATATCCCCTGCAAAAACAAGTCACTGGATGTGGCTGATACCATGGAAGGGGTGACCATGGATGAGGAGCTCTCTTCAGCTGAGGGCAAGTCCTAGAGAGGCATTCACCTGAGAGACAGCTGCAACCCACACTCATAGATGTAGGGAGTGAGTGTGTCTTTCATGAAGGGGGAATATAGGTTGCATAACACAGCATCTGCCAAGGTTGCCAATAAACTATTTGTACTCAAATCTGCCTCTGTGATGGTTAATTTTTTGTGTCAACTTTATTGGGCCATGTGGTGCTCATATTAAACACTGTTTATGAGTGAGTCTGTGAAGGTGTTTCTGGATGAGATTAGCATTTGAAGCAGTGGGCCCAGTAAAGTAAATCACTCTTACCCAATGTGGGTAGCATCATCCAATCTGTTGAGGACTTGAATAGAACAAAAGTCAGAAATAGAAAAAATCTGTCCCTTTTTGTCCTGCCCCACTGCTTGAGCTGGGACACCGTTTGTCAGTTTCTCCAGCCTTTGTACTGGCATTTGTACCTTCTGCTTCCCTGCTTCTCAGGCCTTCGGACTTGGACTGAGTTCTAGTACCAGTTTTTCTGGGTCTCCAGTTTGCAGAAGGCAGATCATTGGACTTCCCAGCCTTCATAATCACATGAGACAATTTCTTATAATAAATAGATATTGAGGCCAGGAGTGGTGGCTCACGCCTGTAATCCCAGCACTTTGGGAGGCCGAGGCAGACAGATCATGAGGTCAGGAGATCGAGACCATCCTGACTAACACGGTGAAACTCTGTCTCTACTAAAAATACAAAATATTAGCTGGGCGTGGTGGTGGGCACCTGTAGTCCCAGCTACTCGGGAGGCTGAGGTAGCAGAATGGGATGAACCCGGGAGGCGGAGCTTGCAGTGAGCTGAGATCGTGCCACTGAACTCCAGCCTGGGTGACAGAGCAAGACTCCATCTCAAAAATAAACAAATAAATAGATATTGAAATAGATAATTCATAGATAGATACATAGATAATCTCTCATTGGTTCCATTTCTCCTAGATTGCTAACACAGTCTTTGAAGTCAGCTGTGTGAAAACTCAACCTAAGACCGGAAGCAGCCATTTCCCTGCTGTTCCCTGTGATAGTGAGGTGGAGGTGTAAATCTAATTCACTTCTACTCTGAGAGGGGTGCCCTTCGGGATCTCAGATTAATGCAGAGCATTCCCCATTTGACTCCTCTCCTTGAGCATCTGTGGGCCCCAAATCACTGGGCTCCACAGATACCCTCCCGGCTAAAGTGGCTCTAGCCATCTGATGCCCTGGTGCACTCTCTTTCTCTCATTTCCTCTTAGATGTTGGCCAGGGAGCTTTCTCCTTTCTTGTCAGCTCTTTACTCTGTCTAAGGAGTTTCAGGCATTTTCATTGAGGGTTTGATCTGAATATCAAAACTTGACATTACTAGAAATAAGAATCTCTGATAAAAATCTTAAATAGGCCATTTGGCATTGAAAAATGCTGCATACGATTCAGTTCTTTTCCAAGTAGATCTCTACAGGCTTAAAGAAATAAGCCTGCCTCTCTTGACCCGGTGTCAAGAAAAGGAGTGATTTCTACCCTTATCACTTGATACCACCAGGAAAAAATGATTAGTTTTTTGAACAAAGGGCCTGCAGGCCCATGTAAGTTCCAGCTGTATGTAACTGATCAGATACATCTTTGTGGAGATTATTGCAAAGGTTTAGAATATGTGTCCTATGTATTTTTCTGTGGCAGATGCCTCAGAAACAACAATGCCCTGAGCTTGAATCTGAACAAGTATAACTCAGAATAGAAAATTATACTACTGTATCTTATTTTTAAGAATTAAAGGAGATTTAAAAGAAAATACAAGTCAAATTACCAATTTTATTATCAGTTCGGCTATAAATTTAATTAAAAGTGCTACCCATTGTGTTGTGGAGTTCTGCATTTTTTCAAGTAATCCCTGGCTGCATTTTTGAATTACTATCTTGCCCTCTCTGCATCTCTCTCTCCCCACACTCTTTTGGTGTAGCGTAAACACAAGTTACAACACACGTGGAAAAATCTGTATTTGAATAAATGAATATGCTATCATGAAAATATAGCTTTAAAATATTGGAAAAGGGGGTGTGAAAAACAACCAAGAATAATTCAGAAGATATTATGGCAGATAAGTGATTTTTCTGTTCAATGTTTTCTAGCCCATATTTTTCTTTAAATTTTAGTGCCAATGAACCAGAACTGAAAGTGAACTGAAATGATTTAAAATAATAAACATTTACAACTTGTTTATCTCTATTTTTGTTTCTATGATTTTAATCACTTATTAAATTAAATTACTTATTTGATTTCATAATACTTTGGGAAAATGTTTTCAGGGCCATAGAATTTTAGTTTGATTATTTGTCAGGAAAAAACACTACTTGATGGATTTTTCAGAAATGTTTCTATCAGAGTAACATGGAAATGCTTACGATGACTTTATTTATGTAACACAATCTTCTTTCACAGAGTCCTTGTGATCATGCTCACAAGAGCTTTCCTTTCTCAGCGCTCATTAAGCACTGGTGGGTTTTACATTCAGTCTTGACACTCATGGCCTTGAGGTACTGACCAGGGCAGGTGGGCCTGCACCTGGGGAGGGGTGCATGTGTTGCAAATTAGAAGAAAATCGTGACACTCATGGCCTTGACGTACTGACCAGTGCTGGTGGGTCTGCACTTCAGGAGGGGCGCATGTGTTGCAAATTAGAAGAAAATCACAAAAAGTTTTGGACACTGATGTATTCACTTATCAATACAAATGAAAGGCTGCTTGCCAGAGGGCAGGTGGATTTCTTCAGGAGGCACTCGCAAACACACAGACACACACACACACACACACACACACACACACTGTCTTTTAAATTGCAGTTTCCCAAAAGAGTCCCAAAGGGGTCTCTCTCTGGCCTCTGTAGGCTTCCCTGCCACCAACTGTCTACTTATTACCAAAATCTCCCTGTCTCAGGACTGACTGAATTTAACAGCATCCTTCTGGCTCACAGGCAATGTATGTATTCTTGCCAAATGGGGAGAAGGGCAGGCCCCACCCTGATCCTTTTCTCCTCTCTCTCCATGCCTCCCACTCCAGCATTCTTCCAGCAAAGAGTCTCTGCATCTTCTATGGGCCTCACTTTTCAGGGAACAACTCAAGGCCTTCCCAGAAGCCTCTCACTTTCACCTCACCATGATTTTGCACAACTTAAAACACCTGCAGCCAGGACAGCTCTCTGAACATCCTCTTAAAGTCCCTCCAACTAATTGACCTGGGGATCACGCTCTCCACTCCCTGACAGAGGGAGGAGAGAAAATGCCCCAGTACTTCTACTGGGTTCACATTCTAGGAGTGTTTCCCAAATTCTCTAGTCTTCTCTCTTGTTCTATTGCGATGGGAGGTGGAGGGTCACAGTAAACACTGGAGAGGCTCCCAGCCTCCTGCTCAGCTGAATCTTTAGAATAAGGAAGGATTCAACTACCATCTATTGTCTTCAGCTTTGCAACTTTTGCTGAAACTCCAAGGCAATAGAAAAAGTCTCATTTAACAACCAAAGTAAGAATGATTATCTCATTTTATCCCTACAAAAACTGACCTTCAAGAGGTGAGGTAGTATTTCAGGGATTCTTGACTATCAGTAATCTAACTTGTCTCCATTTCACATCACATTTCATTAAGAACAGACTGGATACAGCAAGAATTCATGAATAAAATTTGTTGAAAGTTGGCATTGTCATTGTTCTAAGTAGGCACTATACAAAATGTTGATGTATTGACTAATTTTTTTTTTTTTTGAGACGGAGTCTTGCTCTATCGCCCATGCTGGAGTGCAGTGGCACAATCTCAGCTCACTCCAAGCTCCGCCTTCCAGGTTCATGTCATTCTCCTGCCTCAGCCTTGTGAGTAGATGGCACTACAGGTGCCCGCCACCATGCCTGGCTAATTTTTTGTATTTTTAGTACAGATGGGGTTTCACTGTGTTAGCCAGGATGGCCTCGATCTCCTGACCTCGTGATCCGCCTGCCTCGGCCTGCCAAAGTGCTGGGATTACAGGCGTGAGCCACCACGCCTGGCCCCAATGTACTGACTACTTATAATTTGCTTCTCTGCACGTATGCAGAGTTTACAAACTATGACCCTTTGATGGATTTTTAAAACAGGAAGATCTTTATATGGCATACCTAAGAACGGAAAAGTTTCTTTAATCAATAGACTCCCATTAGGATTCTTCCCCAACAGCCTGCCACTGTCTTCTCAGACTTATACTGCTGGTATGGAATAGCAAGCAAACCATTTTTCTCACAACCTTAGAACTAATTTAAATTCAGTGAAACTCCCCAAATTGAAATCCAGAGCTTGCTGACCCATTTAATGATTGTTCTTTCCAACAGAATGCGAGCTCTGAAAATGCAGTGTCAAAACCAGAGTCAGGCCAACTTTCCCCTGCTTTTCTACCAGTTCCATTTAACAGAAAGTGGCAGGACAAAGCCCTCAGTAAATGAGGTTCTGAATTGCCATTGGTTTCTAAGAATGAAGGACATGTTTATTGGCCTCTGGCTACGCTATACTAAACGCAGAAAAAAATAAGATAAAACCTTCATACAGGAGCAGCCACCTTGGTGAATGGAATGAAGGTAATTAGACAAAAGCCAGGAAAAAGAAATGTGTAAGGAACACATCATAGCAGCATAATTCAGCCAAGGTCACCAGCATATTCATAATGAAGAAATCACAGGGCAACTCTACTCCATTCATAGAGTGCTCAGAACATTGACTCTTTCCTCTGTGCCAAAGAGCCTCACTCCCTGTGAGTTTTAGATGCAGCCGACTGCCGGGCAGCAGGTCTGGAGGTAGCTGCTGGAACAATAAGCTGTCAAAAGTATGATATGGAATAGTCATAGTGCTGGGACAATTTTAAGAAGCTGTCAAAAGTACGATGTGGAATTGTCATAGTCAGATACGCAATAGTCAAATGACTTTTCTAAGGCAAATGTAGTGCTTGGATGTTTAATTTCAAC
Source organism: Homo sapiens (assembly GCF_000001405.40). Classification (NCBI taxonomy): domain Eukaryota; kingdom Metazoa; phylum Chordata; class Mammalia; order Primates; family Hominidae; genus Homo; species Homo sapiens. Next base: position 238,389,908 of record NC_000001.11, on the reverse strand, counting down.
AATTATAAAATTATTGTAGCCTATTATGCACAGAGCTATGAGCTCATACTTTGAGAGAAACAAAGATAATTAAGATGCGGTTTTTTCTCTCTTACAACAGAGATGAGATAATGACAATGCCATAATGCACACAACCTGCTATCATGCTCCCAGGTAGCTACTTTGTTGATATATTTTATTTGAGGAGACATTTCCCTTTCTCAGCAGTCCTGGAAATATCTCAAATCCAAGACTGTATACAGATGTTGAGACCTTCTAGATGATTCATTGTAAATTCTCTTTCACCTCTGCTGCTGCCAGTGATATTTTCCCACCTTTCTAGGATGTGAAATCTTAAAGCATCTAGAGTCCCACTCACCTGGCATAATTCATAAAATGTGTAGAATTGTACAAGTGTGGGAAGGAGAATCGCCAGAATTTCCATAGACTTGAGGTTGATATCATGTCCTTAGTTGCATTATGGGTGATCACTTTCCCTTTTCTCAAAACTACTATGATGCTTGTATCTATTTCCTACCTATATTCACTTTTTCCTCCAGAAGGGAATTTTCTGGAGTAGAGAGAGATATGGCATACCTGAGAACTGAAAATTTTCTGACCTAATCCTTTCCTTCATTTGGCCAGAGAACTTCCTATTTTCCCTGCTTTCATCCAGAAGATTCTCAGCTCACTAAGTTACCCAATACTAATGCATTACCATATTAGGGTCTATAATGGGTAGAAGGGCATTTTAAATGTTGCATATGTTACATCATGTCATTTTTATAACTCTCTTGGGGAGGTATTTCTGCCCTGTTTTACAAATGAGAAAAGAGAAACTCAGAGGTAAAAAACTGTGTAGGCTCATGGAAGTGAATAATTAGTAAAGATAAGAATAAGACCATGCTTTCCAACATATAACTCATGCTACAACATAGAGGAAGTTAGAAAGTGACCCATTGCCTTTGTCAAAGCATTTGATGATGGAACCCTAGGGGATGGCAAGCTAAACCTAAAGAAGGAAGTGAGACTCAGATGGAAGGGGCTTGACCATTGGATGGGATGAAAGCAGATAATGCAGCCCAGGTCAGTCTCAGAAATCAGTCATCTCCTTATGCCAGACTCCAGGAGCTGCTTTTTAAACCCTAGTGAAGAAAGGGGCTAAAAATCCATATCAAGAGGCATGCTCCTCTTATGAAACTTTAGGGTATAGGTCTATGTATAAAAGTGTCAAACAAATCAATAATGCAGGCAGCCTTCTCGTCTCACAGTTCAGCTCCATCTTCACCAGGTGGGTATGGAGACCAAGAATGTGCTGCTTTGACACGCTCCAAAATTTAATGTGTCTTTAGTGGAGTTGATAGTGGCATCAAAAAAAGCAGGACTAGGGCCATGATGGGAGAATTAATTCGTGATTACACTGGGAATTTAATCAGGTCTCTTCATGAGTATCCTTAAAGCTTGCCCTGGGGACTCACAAAGATAAATGCAGGTATTGCACAAAGCTTGGAGGCTCAGCAAGGGCTAGTGAAAATAAGTGTTGAAATAATAAGAGCTATCACTAATTTGGCATAATTTTAACCCCTAACATTATGCGGTATGAAGTATGAAAATGTTCAAAGAACTCTAGGGATGCATAGTGTTTAGGGAAAATACAATCATCATGGTCATCAGCACCATCAACAGCAATATAAAGACTTGCAAACGAGAGGATTATAAATATTTTTATAATTTAATACTTTGATGTATAAATTGAAGAATAAAAGAAAAGTATGCATTTAGGGCAATAAAGTTTATCATGCCCTTGATTCTCCCTTTTTTTAAAAATACCCTTTCCCCTCTACCCTAGATCATCTCAGCATATAGTGTTTCTACATGACAAAGGTCTTCGATGCTTGCTGAATGCAATTCTTTGTAGTTTTGCTGGGGATATGACCTCCACAAATTGATAAACTCAAAGCACAGTCCAGGAGAATAATTTTTATGTTGTCGGAAAGCAAAACCTTTCCCTTGAACAGACTTCAAAGGAAAACCTCGGTGCACTAGGAGAACGCTAAGTGATCTTTCTTCATGTAGGTTGGTACCAAAATCCATTTCCACACGATGTCTGACTTTTAGCAATTTAGTCAGAAATAAGAGAATCAAAGGCACACTCCTCAAAGTTCAAGTGTGTCTGACCACATCCCACAGTGATGGGAGAAATTGCTCACTTAAATAACTCTCCAGGAAGAAAATCATGCTCATATAATTAATGAGAGTTACTCTGCAGAGAATGGATGAATTTGCTTTAATCTTGACAGCCATGGTTTATTATAGAAGAATCCCTAGTTACTCTGGGATCTCTTTTCAGCTATTTTCATATCGAGAATGGCTATCAGAAACTAAGATATATAATCATATCCTTGTATTGCTTGTTTTTAATAAACCCATTGCACTGGGGATAAAGTCTTGTCAATAGTTATAATAGTTTGTTACCTACCTAAACTTCCCCAGTTAGAAGTTTTATAGCTTCCACTGCAATGGGACCAAAATACTGAACAACTGCCAAAATATGGAATAGCTGCCCATATATGGCTGACCGCCCAAATGTATCAGTAGTAGAAGCATTTTCTTTCTTTTTTTTTTTAAGATGAAGTCTTGCTCTTGTACCCCAGGCTGGAGTCCAATAGCGTGATCTCAGCTCACTGCAACCTCCACCTCCCGGGTTCAAGCAATTCTCCTGCCTCAGCCTCCCAAGTAGCTGGGATTACAGGTGCCTGCTACCATGCCCAGCTAATTTTTGTATTTTTAGTACAGACAGGGTTTCACCATGTTGGCCAGGCTGGTCTCGAACTCCTGACCTCAGGTGATCCATCCGCCTCAGCCTCCCAAAGTGCTGGGATTACAGGCATGAGCCACTGCACCCAGCCACATTTCCATTTTTAAAAAAATAAGGAATGTTTAACCATTGACAGTGTAGTGAAATTTATTATGGAAAATGTGACAATGTATAAAAGAAGAATGAAGTTGAGAATCATCTATTGTCTCGGCATCTAGAAAAGTGACAACCATTCTGGTGTATTTCATAGAAGACTCTTTGCTGTATGTACATTTTTTACATAGCTGCAATCATGTCAACAATAACAATTGTTAGGTGTCTACCTAGAAGAACTGATGTAGTTAATACAAGGTACAAGGAACTCATAACTGGGACACAAAGAACTTGGATTAACATAGGTAACATATTTTAGTCAATCAGTAATATGTTTTAACATAAATCATTCCAAATATCATTATTTCAATAAATATTTATTAAGTATCTACTACATCACCAAGCATTGTACTGGGTTCATTTATTACCTAATGGAATGTTTTATGATTCATGATGGAATGTGTTTGTTATTCTGAACTTTGAGATCAATATCTGGAACTGATTGTGTTAACCTTTGTTGTCTAATCATAACATATGTATTGATTGTGTTCATCCTCTAGTTTGGGAATGGTTAAAAATGGAGGATTTGACTTGTTCAATGCTCGCTCTATCTCCTTTTGAGCCACAGGATGTCGGTTTAAAAACCCAAAGAAGTAAATGTATGTGTGTACACATATACACACCCACACACATATATGTACACATATATACACATATGTGTATATATATGACTACATATATATGTATACATACCTAAATTTCTAAGCGTTTCCTATATATAGCCTATTAATATATACTATGCTATATAATATGTAAGTTACACATATACATTATATATAACTGCATATATTGATATATATTATATAATATAACATATTGATATATATTATATAACATATTGATATGTATAACATTGATATATATTATATAACATAGATACATATTATATAACATATTGATACATATTATATAACATATTGATACATATTATATAACATATTGATATATATTATATTATATTGATATATATTATATAATATATTGATATATAATATATTGATATATATTATATAATATATTGATATACAATATATTTATATATTATATAATATAATATATTGTATGATATATACATATATTTATAAAATATGTGATATATAATAAACTTATAATAAACATATATTTAAAAACAAATACATGTATTTAAAATATATATCAATTATATATAGTATATATTTATATGTAATATATACATTTTAAACTTCTAGAAATTGAGAAGAAATAGAAGAGCACCCCAATGGAAAAAACTAAACAAAGGATATAAAAAGACAAATCACACAAAAAACAAATTACAAATAGCATTTAAGCATTTGTGAAGATGTGCAACCTCACTCATAATAAAATGAATAAAAATTAACTACGTTAATAATCATTTCTTAGCTATCAAATTGGAGAAAATACAGGAGTTTGAAAATAATGGTGTTGAAGAGACACTTGTAATTTCTGGAAGAAGAGCAAAATAGTTCAATATCTATGGAGGAAAATCTGACAGTATCTAATAACATTGCAAATTCTTTAATTTTTAAACCTGACAATCAAACTTCTAGAAATGCCCACTACAGATATTCCTGAATAAGTAAGAAATCTCATACGTACCAGGTTATTCATTGTGGTATTATCTGTTAGCTTACTGTTCTGCAAAAGAAAACTGAGTAAACTATGGTACATTCTTGTGGTGGAATCTAATATCATATAGTTTTTAAGAATAAGGACGTTCTCTATGTATTATGATAAAGACAGAATATATTGTTATTCTAAAATATACCGGGAAAACGAGCAACATGCATCATAGTATGTATTGTATGTTGATTTCTTTAGTAAGATAAGGCAGTTATTCGTTCATACAAACAAACTCTGGAAGGGTAAGTATGACATAAGAAAATATTTATCTATAAAGGGTTGAGACCTCGGGAAAACAAAGGAAGAGGCACTAAAGGAAGCAGGATTTTCTAGGCATCTCTTCATTTTATTGTTAACTTTTGAATCATGTAGATACATTACCTATTAAGAAAACACAACTCAGTTTAGTAAGAAATCCCTGATATTGAAAACAAATAAAAGTAAATGAGCAAATAACTCTAACTGAATATTGCATTAATAATATAAGCCCATAGTACATTTTTTTCACGTGACTTTAAAATATGTATTTTTTGACTATATAGGCTTAGTGAAGTGTATTCTAAAGACAAAAAGAACTGCACAGATACTTTAAATTGTATTTAATAGTTTAATCTTTTTAAACTTATTATTTTGTGATAATTGTAGCTTTACCTGCAGGTCGTAAGAAATAATACAGAAAGATGCATCCTTTACTCAGCTTTCCCCAGTGGTAGTACTTTGCATAACTAGAGTATAACGTCACAAGCAGGAAATTGACATTGACACAAACTATTGACTGTGTTCAGATCTCGTCCGTTTTACATGCAATTTTGTGTATGTCTGTGTGTGTGTATGATTCATTCTATGTGATTTTATCAGATGTGTACGTTCATGTAACCACCATTACAGCCAAGATGCAGAGTTTCACCACAAGGATCACAGCTATTTTCCTTCCTTACCTGGCATCTACTAAAAACATAAATAAAAATAAACAACAACCCAAAGAAGTTTTTTTTGGTCTGCAACAAAGTAAGAATATTAGAATCCTAATTTCTTAGACAACAGACCTGTTTTAAGCACGATGTGATTGCCCAGTTCATAGGGACCAATACTGAAAGCCTCGGAGACAATCCAAAGGAGGCCAACATCTGTGACTTATGCCAGAATCCCAAACACTGCAGAAAAGGGGCTGGGGAATAACTTTACACTGGGGAAACCTCACGAACACTCCTGTGGCCAGGTGACCAGGATTAACATCAACAGTGAAAAGCTGTGTTGATGTTATGTACCCTTGATGTGATGTGAAGAAAATAGAACTTAACAAGTCTGTGAGCTTTCTCAAAACTCAGAATCTCAGTCTTATCATGAGAAAAACATCAGGAAAATCTCAATTAAGAGACACTCCAAAATACTTGATCACAACTGCCCCAAACTGGCAAAGTCATCAAAAATAAGGAAACTCCGAGAAACTGCCACAGACAAGAGGAGCTTAGGGAGATAGGATGATTGAATGAAATATGGTATCCAGGATCAAATCCCAGGACAGAAAAATAACACTAGGGTGAAAAACCAAGGAAACCTGAATAACTAAGGAAACCTATGAACTTCAGCTTAATAAAAGTCTAGCACAGGGGTGCCCAATCTTTTGACTTCTTTGGGCTACATTGGAAGAAGAAGAATTGTCTTGGACCACACATAAACTTAATACTAATGATAGCTGATGAGCTAAAAAAAATTCACACACAAAAAATCTTATAATGTTTTAAGAAAATTTAGGAATTTGTGTTGGGCTGCATTCAAAGCTGTCCTGGGCTACATGCAGCTTGCATGCCACAGGTTGGACAAGCTTGGTCTAGAAGGTTTTTCTCTGAAAGCAATTTTCAAAAAGCACGTGCCCCTTTGGTAAGTTCTAAACAGGAAATGGGGCAGTACCCCTCAAATTAGCCCATTCACATTATTCATGGAATAGCAGGAACTGCCACTTTCCAATAACCAGATGTCACTTTGACAAATGAGGGCACCAGAAAAGAAGGAGTTGGGACCTGAGAAGTGACCTTTTTTTTTTTTTTTTTTTTTTTTTTTTTTTTTTTTTGTACAAAGGGAAGAAAAGAAAAACTCTTAAGGTTACAAGAAAAACTTCTGTGAGATGAATGGCAAACTCAGGGGAAACACTGGCGGGGTAAAGGGAAGCCAGGAACTCCAGTTGTGTTACACACGGTGACATCAAAAGCAAGCACAAACTGAAGGGCAAGGGGAAAGTGTGACATAGGAGAGAGGAGCTGTCATCAATGCCAGAAAATCAGCATCTTGTGTGCAGGACACAAAAGAGAAAGGAGGTCAAAGAGGGCAACCAGAGCAGGTAAAGAGAGTATGAAACTTGGCAAGGGGCATGGGTTGGGATGTGAGCCACAGATAAAGCAGGACTCTTGAGCTGTCATTGCTGTTGGGATTCTGGCAGCTGGGTGGTCCGGATTGGTACTGGCTAACTTAAGGCTCAGGGTGGGAATGGAGAGGGCAGGAAACATTATGACATTATGATGCCAGAATGTGAAATATGAGTATCACACACCTTTTCACTACTTAGCCCCTTGCCTGCTAGTGGCACAGATGAGACGTTAGGGAAAGAAAGTCAGAAACATTCGTTCTAATTTAGTGAATATTACTCAATTGCTGCAGGCCTGAGTGTATGCAGACTGCGCCACTGTAATGTTATCTTTAGCACACATGTACATACCCCCCACCTTCCCTCAAAGCCTGATATATGGAATTTGGACACAAAACGATTTAGAAGCTAAGATTTTCTTCAAGAAATGAGGCTTTGGCTGGGCGTGGTGGCTCACGCCTGTAATCCCAGTACTTTGGGAGGCTGAGTTGGGTGGATCACTTGAGGTCAGGAGTTTGAGACCATCCTGGCCAACATGATGAAACTCCAGCTCTATTAAAAATATAAAAATTAACGCCTGTAATCCCAGCACTTTGGGAGGCTGAGGCGGGTGGATCACGAGGTCAAGAGATCGAGACCATCCTGGCCAACGTGGTGAAACCTTGTCTCTACTAAAAATACAAAAATTAGCTGGTCATGGTGGCGTACACCTGTAGTCCCAGCTACTCAGGAGGCTGAGGCAGGAGAATCGCTTGAACCTGGGAGGTGGACGTTGCAGTGAGCCGAGATCATGCCACTGCACTGCAGCCTGGTGACAGAGGGAGATTCCATCTCAAAACAAACAAACAAACAAAAATTAGCCAGGTGTGGTAGTACACGCCTGTAGTCTCAGCTACTCAGGAGGCTGAGGCAAGAGAATCGCTTGAACCCAGGAGGTGGAGGCTGCAGTGAGCCGAAATCGTGCCACTGTGCTCCAGCCTGGGTGACAGACAGAGACTCCATCTCAAAAAAAAAAAAAAAAAAAAAAAAAAAAGGAGGCTTGAAGTGACATTAGCTCTTTGCAGTTTGTCTTCTCCCAACCTATTACAATCATAAACTCTATATGGTCATTCTCACCTATTTATGACTTCTAGAGTTACTCAACCACCATCGTCAACACCTAGTGTATTGATGAAGACAAGAAATGCTAGAGGATACACAAGCAGAGGACGTGAGTGATTTTTGATAGGTTGGGCTGGGTGTGGTGGCTCACACTCAGGCCTGCAGCAATTGAGTAATATCCACTAAATTAGAACCAAACAATGTTTCTGACTTTCTTTCCCTAACGTCTCATCTGTGCCACTAGCAGACGTGGAGCTAAGTGGTGAAAAGGTATGTGATATTCATATTTCACATTCGGGCATCATAATGTCATAATGTTTCCTGCCCTCTCCATTCCCCCCTAAGCCTTAAGTCCTTATATTACTAATGTAATATAAACTTGATAGTAAATTCACAATCAAAATAGGCTGGGTCCACCCGGTGGGTAGTGGCTCCCTGGAAATCTGTGTGTAGAAGATTTGTAAAATGATATTAATCTCTGGTGGAAAACATTGCTGCTGCCAAGTGGCCACGCCTGCTGTGTGTGAGAGAGGGACAGACAGAAGCTCTAGTCACAATCTGCCATCTTTGTTTTTACACTTGGTGAAATAAGAGCAACTTTTGAGATTCATGCTGTCCCTATCTGTCTACTTAAAACCAAATTACCATTTTTCTGCAGTTTAGATCACCATTTATATAAGGATTCACCAAATTTAGAGTCAGGAACATTCCTAATAAACCACGTTGTTGTTGTAGGACGATTTGCATGTCATGGAACAACATGTAGGAGCCACATATGATCACATGTTACACCATGCCTTGGTAGAACAAATAACTGTTCTTTCCCTCCCAATTAATGTCGCATCCTAAAGATGTGGCTCAACTGTACAGTACAGCGTGAAACGGTCATGACTAATCCGAAGGTTTGTTTGTACACACTGAATTTTTTTTTTTTCACTTTGCATTACAGCTGCAGGGGAGAAAAAAGGCAAAACACATCACTGGATCTGTTAGGTTTTAATCCAATTTGTTGTATCTGATTGCCTTAATTGGTGCATTACCAATTACGGCATAGCGACATCTGTCATCCTCTCCCCTCCCTCAATTTCCCTCAACTGTTAAAAATATTGTATAAGTATTAATTAGATAACTGATTAATTTAATTTGGGTGAAGTAAATTTGCTACCTAATGATACAGAGGAAGTAATGAGGCTTCAAATCAGAACACCCAACACCGAGAAATTCTATGCAGCTCAATGAGTGTTCCCTGTTGTGGAACGCCCACTGTACTTTCAGTTCATTCTCCGACCAAAATTTTGTGGATCTCCTTTGATCTACCTAAAACAGTTCTCTGTAGATCTATCTGTTTTACAAATTTAACAAGCATCTCCACTAGAAGACCAATGACTAATTAAGGTCATCTATAAATTATTTAAATAAGTGCCTGCATTTAAAAAAGAAAAGACACATCATTGACAAAGCAAGGGTTCAAATCACAATTAACATACATTCCTTAAGACAATTCAGCCTGGCTTTACGTCCAGTTGGTAACTCCCTGAAGCAAGAATGTTTGTTACTTCAAAACCATCTATGTCCTTTTGGTTCCTTCTTTTCCTGCATATTGTCGGTGATTTTCCATGTTCCAGGATGATACATGCTTTTCAGCTTGGACTGAGAATATTCTTGTGCCATTACAAATACAATGAATTTCAACAAATATCTGTCACCTAAATTACTGAGAGTTCAGAAATTAAAGTAGAGAGTCTTTTGAGTCAAAGCATTTCAGTGCACATTCTGTTAAATTGCACATTTAACATGCCTGCTTATACTAAACTTTATTTTTCCAGTAAGGCTACAAATGATGAGCACAGTTGGATTTTTTCAGGAATGTATCTTCTAAATTGAATAAAATTGCATTAAAATACCCTGTTATTACCCCCAAATTATTGCTCTGTAACAATATCAAACAACCTGTATTCCCTCAAACTGCCATAGTCCAGAAGTTAACTGTCAGGCCTCTGAGCCCAAGCCAAGCCATCGCATCCCCTGTGACTTGCACGTATTCGCCCAGATGGCCTGAAGTAACTGAAGAATCACAAAAGAAGTGAATATGCTCTGCCCCACCTTAACTGATGACATTCCACCACAAAAGAAGTGTAAATGGCCGGTCCTTGCCTTAAGTGATGACATTACCTTGTGAAAGTCCTTTTCCTGGCTCATCCTGGCTCAAAAACACCCCCACTGAGCACCTTGTGACCCCCACTCCTGCCCACCAGAGAACAAACTCCCTTTGAGTGTAATTTTCCTTTACCTACCCAAATCCTATAAAACGGCCCCACCCTTATCTCCCTTCGCTGACTCTCTTTTCGGACTCAGCCCGCCTGCACCCAGGTGAAATAAACAGCCATGTTGCTCACACAAAGCCTGTTTGGTGGTCTCTTCACACGGACGCGCATGAAATTAACATTTGGTGGTTTATTTCTGGTCTAAAAGGAACACTGGCATGTTCTGTGGAGATTCAAGGGAAATAATACATGGTCTTCAAGTGTGGTGACTCATGCCTGTAATTTCAACACTTTGGGAAGCTGAGGCAGGAGGATCACTTGTTACCGGGAGTTTGAGGCTGCAGTGAGCTATGATCACACCACCGCACTCCAGCCTAGATGACAAAGCAAAACCTGTCTCTAAAGAAAATAAATAAATAAATACAAATAATAAGTAATGCAGGGTCTTTTGTTGTATTGATAATCCACCAGAAAAAATAATTACCCAGGTATAAAGTTTTACCAACTACAAAAAACGTTATGAAAAATATTGGATTATTTCCCACAAGGACTCTTTAAAATTTAGTCTAAAGAGTAATCCAGCTGGGCGCGGTGGCTCACGCCTGTAATCCCAGCACTTTGGGAGGCCAAGGAGGGTGGATCATGAGGTCAGATCGAGACCAACCTGGCTAACACGGTGAAACCCCGTCTCTACCAAAAAAATACAAAAAATTAGCCAGGCGTGGTGGCAGGCGCCTGCAGTCCCAGCTACTCAGGAGGCTGAGGCAGGAGAATCGCTTGAACCCGGGAGGCAGAGGTTGCAGTGAGCCAGATTGCACCACTGCATTGAGTTAGACTCAGTCTCAAAAAAAAAAAAAAAAAAAAAGAGTAATCCCTTTGGGTGCTTCTTACAAATGCAGCACCTAGACACACCCCAAAAGTCTGTGCTATAGATTTGGATGCTGCAATCAATCTTCTTAAAACCCACCAAATCCAAATGAAAATCATAATAATGTCTGATGTGGGTCACTGATCGCTGTCCTATGATGTCTGAATAAAATGTCATTTGGAGAGTCTGCTATTTTTATTAATCTGTGTCATTCAACCCAAGTAAAAACAATTTTCATAATATACCAATACCACTTGAAGACAGGTTCTTTAGGCATTTCCACTCACAAACGTTTTCCCCCAAAATATTGCTTCCTTTAAGCGCACTTTTTGTAGAATAAGCTGCCATCAGACCAACGAATCTGCATATTTAATAAACTCTTTCTCCCCAGCCCCTTCAGGTGAGTCTAAAAACCTCTAAGATAAAGAGATCAGCAAAACCATCATAGACATGTAGAAAATTTCAAGTCAAGAAACTTATGGACGTGGGACCGTGCAAGGTATATTCTGAAATTGCTGGAGTACGACTCAAAGACTGTAGAGTGAACTAGAAATGGAAAGGCAAGTTGTGGGCTCAGGACAGATGGTCTTGGACGCATGCCTACTGGTTGGGCCTTTAGAAACTGACACTTTGAGCAGATGAATGACAAGAACAAAAGCATGCCTTAGGAAGCGTCAGTCTTTGGATTGGTGGGGCAAGAAGGGAAATGGAAAGACCAGCTTACAGAACAATTGTAACTGCCTTTTGGGAGAGAGCACTCATCTCGAGTCAGGGAGGAGGGACAGCACAAGCAAGGCAGTTTTTTTTTTGTTTGTTTGTTTGTTTTTTTTTTTAGTAGAGACAGGGTTTCACCATGTTAGCCAGGATGGTCTCAATCTCCTGACCTCGTCACACCCCCACCTTGGCCTCCCAAAGTGCTGGGATTACAGGCATAAGCCACCACACCCAACCGGCAGGAGGCAGTTCTAAGAGACAAAGGTCCTGGTGACATTCCCCTAGTCTTGGAGAATAACCTTCACATTCCCTGCAGCTATCGTCCTCAGCAGAAAGGTACCACTTCAAAAGTATTCCGTCAACTCTAGGGGCCATTTTTACCACTTTTATCTTTGAGATTTGCTGTTTCTCTTTGTCTTAAGGTTGGATCTTTGCTGAGAGTGTCAGAGTTCTCTTACTGAAGTCTTAGTTAGAAAAGTGGCAGATATTTACATTCCAGGACACAAACAGATGCTTCAAAAAGAGCTCCTTTATCCAGTTTTTATTGTCAGGCAAAGAATAGGATTTGCCTTACAATAGCTGTTGCAGACTACTCACCACACTTAAGCTCAGGATAGAGACATTTTCTGAAATGCCACGGAGGACAGATTGAAAATGCCTTAATCATATTTGGTTCCATGGGACCACTCGAAATTACTTTCCAGCATTCATTTTTAATGTCACATTTTCATAAGACGTTTCTTACTGGAAAGAACTCTCAAACAGAAGTTGGAAAATGTTGGTCCTAATCCCCTACCACTCTTATTCAGCACAGAACATTAAATAAGTGCCAGGACCTGCTCAAAGTGCCAGGGAAGAGGACAAATAAAACAGATTTTGCCTTTGGGAAGCTCACAGTCTGGAATGGGAGAGAGACATACATGAAGATGGAACTGGAATGTGATGCACTGAGTCCTGGGGCCGAAGTTGGCACGTGGTGTTCTGGGAGCACAGATGAGGAGCTGAACACCTTCACTGCAGGGTTCCAGAGATGGTGGTGGCTAAACAGGCTGAAATGAAGGCAATAAAGAGCAAAGCAGTAGGTGGAGGGTGTTCCCTGCAAGAACAACAATCAACAGAGCTGTCAAGCAGTCAAGTGTATGCACTGGAAATGCAAATGATGTTGTTATTCCTCTAGGATAAAGCACAATCTCCTGCCAACGGTGATCTTGGATAAAACCACAAACACAGGAAAAGATGGGACCATTGAGCACCTTTAGTGTCCTGCTCAGGGCCTTTGAACTTATCCTGGAGATACACGAAACCATTGAAGGATTTTAAGCAGAGAAATCACCAATACGATTTGTGCTTTGGATGTATCAGCATGACAGCAAGGTGAGAGTCTACACATACTAGTGGACAACAGCTAAACCATGTACAAAACTAGAATTCCAACCTGCAACCTGCAGCAACCTGCATATTAAACCAACCTCGTGTTCAATAATTAGCCCAGTAAGCCAGCCTGTTGAAGTCAAGTTGTAGATACTCAGACTGCTGTCTCTAGCAGCAGTCCATGAAGGCAAGCGATAACATCTATAAAATTGTCTCTAAGTGGCCAGGACTTGATTAATAACTGGCGGCTTCCCTAATTTGAGCTCCCACTTCCAACTTGGGACCAACTAGAGAAGGCTGAATCTGTTCTCCTAACCAATCACATGGGATGCCCCATTGCTAGCAGACAACTTCCTCAGGCCAACAGCCTCCGATCGGGGCACACCTGGAGGATTCCCTTTCACCCACCAAATAGCCTTCCTCCTCCTCTGCCTGCTTTTCAGCCTCTGCCAAACACATGAATGGCAGCTGACTCTCTTGTTATAGCAAGTTATGAATAAAATAGCCGTTGATATCTCATTTGGTTGATCTTTGTTTACTTCCACAAAGGTCAGGAATCTTTATAAATGATCAAATAATTTGCAGTAAATTTGCAAAAAAAATGCATTAAAAAATTATAAACAAGGAAACAAGGGAGGTAATCAAAACCAGTGATAAAATAATAAAAATGAGTAACATGAATTAAGCACTCACTATTCATCTGCACTCTACTAATCACTTCATCTCCTAGAATCTCATTTACTTCTTAAAACAACCCCTGTTGCGTGTACTAGATGTTAGCTACAGTTTAAAATAGAAGAAACAGAGTTAGAAAGACGAATGATGAGTTCATCTCACAATTTTATCTGTAGTTAGTGACCCAAAATAGGTCTTCCTTCAATTAAAAAAAAAATTGTCTGTTTTTTATTGAGACCGAGTCTTCTTCTGTCAGGCAGGCTAGTGTGCAATGGCAGCTCACGGCTGACTGCAGCTTTGACATCCTGGCTTAAGCAATCCTCCCACCTCAGCCTCCCAAGTAGCTGGGACTACAGATGTGTACCATCACACTTGGCTAATTTTTGTATATTTTGGTAGAGAAGGGGTTTTATGATGTTGCCCAGTCTGGTCTTGAACTCCTGGGCTCAAGAGATCTGCCCACCTTGGCCTTCCAAAGTGCTAGGATTACAGGCGTGAGCCATCATGGCCAGACTCCAACTAAGTCTTCCTGACACCAAAGCATATGCTCTAAACATTCCATGAACTGCCTCAAAACCAAAGTTAACTGAGAGCCAGAGCTTAGACCAAGTCAAGCACTTCATTACTTCTTTTATTTCACAGGACCTCAGAAGGGAGATGAAAACAATAGAGTGGAAAAAATATTTGGGAGGTAAAACAGAAGAATTTGGTGACTGACAGGCTATGGTTGGTGGTGGAAGGCTGGATAAGGAATCCAAGGTAATTTTATGTTCTGAGGGAATCTTATTCCCCCATTTCCATCTGTAAAAGGCCCTTCTTGACCCACATGCTTGCAAGCCTTGAGAAGGGAACCAAGCGGTTTCAGGTTAATTCTTCCTGGGGCCTTGGGCTAGTCACCTCATATCTCTAAATACCCTGTTTTATCTGTAAAATTAGAAGAATGCCTTGCCCACCTCCCATGGTGGTTTTCTATTTCAAAAGAAAATTAATTCATCTATTTCTTTAAAAGTTATGTGTTTTAACACCTATCTTTATTATACAAGTTACTTCTATCATTTATTTTCATACTAAGATGTAAGAAACTGCCTGAAAATGTTTTTACTTTTCTAGCAAGTAAACAGTAGATAAAAGAGTGGATATGAAAATATTAATACTGAAAAGTTGTATCCAGATATTTGTTTTAGATCAGTTTGGGTAGTACATATATTTTGGGTAATATATATATTTTGTAATATATCTGATGATACGTTAGAAGGTTGCACTGTTCTTCAAACTTCAAGTGAATTTTCAAAAATTTTGATACATCTATTTCACACAGTTTTAAGTTATTTTTATTATGCAAAGTTATTTCTATCTTTTTTTCATGCTAACATCTAAGAAGTTGCCAGAAAATGTTTTTACTTTTCTAACAAGTAAATGCAGCTGAGTATTATATATATTTACATGAGATTATAAAATGTCAGATCTTACTTGGCCAATACTATATGTAGAAGCAGGAAAATAATGCACTTCAGAGGGTAAAAGCCTGAAGAAGCACCCAAAGCATAGCCTTTGCCTCAAGTGGCCAAAACACTGGAACTCTCTTTCCCTTTCTTGACTATTTAGTTTATCTTCCTTATCACAAGGGAGTCCTCATTTCCCAAAATAACTAAATATATGTAGAGAGATCTATATATTTTCTTTATATAAATGTATGTAGATAGAAATATTTCCCAAACTAAGTAAAAATAAATAAATAAATAAACGTGTACACACACACACACACACACACACACACACACACGTTCTTTTCTTTGGAATTCAACAGCCAATTCAAGACTGTTTATAAAATCCAATCAAATGCAAGTCCCTGGAATAAGAAAGGATATTCTAAAATCAACTTTAGGAACTCCTTTGTAGGCAACTTCAGACACGCTGGTTTGAATTGTGTGCTCTTTGAATTCTTTGTCTTTTTATCTTGGCCAAATACCAGATTTCAGAAGCAAGCGGGTGTCAGGGTACTATGATGATGACAACAGCAACAATATCTGCTACATACCAAGAACTGTACTGTTCTATTTTTTAATTTATCTTTGTTATTAATGTTATTTTCAATTGACAAATCATACTTGCATAAATTTATGGTGTACAATGTGAAGATTTAATACATGGATACAATGTAGAATTATTAAATCAACCTAATTAATATACTCATCACCTCACTTACTTATCCATGTTTGTGATGAGACTTTTGAAATGTGCACTCTTAGTTATTTTGAAATATACAACACATTGTTATTAACTGTGCTCAACCCAGTGTGCAATAGATCTCAAAACTCATCCCCCTATCTAGCTGAAACTTTGTGCCCTCTGACCAACAGCTTCCTATTCCTTTCCTCTTGACCTTGCCCCCAGCATGTGGTAACCATTATTCTACTCTCTACTTTCATGAGTTGGACTTTTTTAGATTCCACATAAAAATGAGATCATGTGATATCTGTCTTTCTGTGCTTAGCTTATTTCTCTCAAAGACGAAAGATAAGTGTTGGCAAAATTGTAGAAAAGGGAACACTTGTAAGCTGATAGTGGGAATGTAAATTAGTACAGCCGTTAAGGAAAATGCTGTGGAGGTTCTTCAAAAAACTAGAAATAGAACTACCATATGACCCAGCAATCCCACTTCTGGGGGCATATAAAATAAAACTTAAATCAATACGTTGAAGGGCTAGCTACTCTCCCATGTTTAGTGCAGTATTATTGACAATAACCAAGATAGAATCAATGTGAGTGCTAATCACCAGATGAACAGCATATAAAAAATAAGGCATATATACAGAATGGAATACTTGACTTTAGAATGGAATACAATACTTTAAATGTAAGTAAGAAAATATAGCATATATACAGAATAGAATGCTAGTCAGCCTTTAACGAGAAGGAAATCATGCCATTGTGACAACATGTATGAGCCTGGAAGACATTACTCTAAAAAATTTGACTTACTTCATTTAGTCCTAATAACCTTAAGAGTGAGATATTATTATTTCTCCCACTGTATCCTTGAGGAAACATAATAAAAGTTGAGTAATTTCATGTGACATGCCCATTATGGACTGATAACAGACACCTGCTTATCCCAATTTTTTAAGGATCCAGGGCAATAGAGAACGTAACATCTCCAAGTCCACTATTTTTTGTAACAGAGGGAACAAGTAATCTTAAAACAGCAATTAAATGCTTTAGCATACAGCTGAACCATGTCCCTTACCCTGACAATCATATGATCACGGTCAATGAGGTTGTATGGTCCCATTCTTGACTCACAGGGAGGTCAGGAAGCGTAATTCAGAAGGTTGGAAACATTTGGGAAGCAGCAATGACAGCTCCTATAGGTCATATCTACCCAGAGCCTGTAGCGTTCCTCTTTCCAATATGCCATGAAAGTCATAATCACTGCATAAAGCAACTGAGTCTTCTACAGCATAAAAACAAAATTTACATTTATAGTCTTTAGATTTTAATGTATACTACACTTATTTTCCGGTTTCCTTTTAATATAAACAATAATCTCACAATATAAAAGTCAAACTGGATCTCTAATTTTCTTTTTTTTCCCTTCTTTCCCTTAAATTTAAGTTTTTTATTTTCTCAAAAAGACTATCCCATAAACATTTATGTTATCAACTACACTGGCTTTTTATTGCTGTGTAACAAATTACCACAAACATACCACAAAATGTGTGCTTATCCCCTCACAGTTTCTGTGGGTCAGAAGTCTGGCATGGTGTAGCGGGACTCTCTACACAACATGTCAAAAGGCTGCAGTTGCAATCAAGGTATTAGCCTGGGTGTGTTTTCATCTGGATGGTCGGATGGGGAAGAATCCATATCCAAGCTAAACCAGGGAGTTGGAAGCATCCATGTCTTCAGCAGGACTGAGTACCCTGCTTTTTGCAAACTGTTGCTTGGGGGTCACCCTCAGGTCCTGCCTAAGGCTGGAATAGACTACCATAGCTTCTTGTCACATGTTCCTCTGCATAGGTGGTATGTAGTATGTCATAGTACCTTGCTTTTTCAGGTTCAGCAGGGGAGTGTCCCACTAGTCTGCAAAGACAGTATTTTTTATAAGGTATAATGGAATCATGGAAGTGGCATCTTATCACCTGTACTATTAATCTATATTATTGGTTAGAAGGAAGTCACATAATCCACTCACATTAATAGGAAGGAATTACAATCAAATGTAGACACTAGGAAAAAGGAATTATCAAGGATCAGCTTACAGTGTGTCCATCAAATCAACAGAGGTAGAATATAAAAATTATTTATTTCTATTATTATATCTCATCTGCCTATGTCTTTGACTTACACGTTGTAGATCCCTGTTGTTATATTTCTATTCATTATATAAATTAACTCTTTATGAGCTATTCACATTTTACTCTATTAATATCCACAAATAATCATGACTTCATGATGAAGCCTGATCAAGCCTGTGGTGTCTAGTGTTTTAGTATTTAAAGTACCACAGTCTTTAAAGGATCTCTCTCTCTTTCTGTGTGTTTATCTTTCTGTGTGTGTACCTTTAAAGGATCTCTCTCTCTTTCTGTGTGTTCATCTCTCTTTCTATGTCTCTTTGTATCTTGCTGAGGATCAAGAATACATATTACCTTATCTTTACTGTTCTCTTATTTTTTTTAAATAAAATCATGGTGGTACTATTGGTTTTAGCTTCAAAGTCCTTGGAAGTAATCCCTTCTCATATAAAAAAAAAACTGGGCAATGACTTATCACGGACCTATCAAAGAAATGAGATTGCAGGGCAAATAGCCATTCTAAAATCTGGAGAAACAGATTCATCCAGAGAGACGTAGATGAGATTTCCTTAACTGGAATTGAAGCTACCATAGCCATAAACCAGTGAGCACTTAAATGGTAATTTTGATAAATTGCTGGAAGTGGACAGGTGTGATAAATCACTGGAAGTGGACTGGTGTGGAAGTAGACTGGTGTGGAAGTGGACTGGCGTGGAAGTGGACTGGTGTGGAAGTGGACTGGCGTGGAAGTGGACTGGTGTGGAAGTGGACTGGTGTGGAAGTGGACTGGTGTGGAAAGTGAGAGTCTCCAGAGGACCATAGGCTTGTAGGCCAAGTTTCCATGGGTTTTAACTCTAGGAACCACACCAGGCTCTCATAGTGAAGAACAAAGTTCACCTCCTGGCTCTGTCAGAGGGAGGGAAAGAGTAATCATTGTGAAACATATCTGACCTTTCTCCTTAACAGAGACCTTCTTTCTAGGGTAAATGGCTTTGGCCAAGGATTATCCATTATTCCTTCTACTCCTGTCCACTTTAGCCTTTCTGTCTCTCTTATGGAAGGATAAAAATATAGTCAATGGGAAGGCAAAAATTCAAAAAAATAGACTGGGAAGACTGCAGTATGGGAAGAGAGTAGAGGGAATGAGGGCCCAAAAATGAAACAAACAAACAAAAATCACCAGAGAAACATATGTGAAGGTTATAGGCCAGAGACACAGGCCCATTTAAAGACCAAGATTACTCATAAGATTATAAAACATTCCCCCTCTGCCACAACTTTCCACCACAGTGACAGACCTTCAGTAAAATAAAACAAGATTATAGATGAAAGAGCTGCAGGACAGACTCTCGGAAGAAGAGTACTTACGGAAGCTGAAAGGTAAAAAAGGGAATACAGATAGGGACATTAGAGAAAGATGAAGCCTCTGCCACCTTAGCTACAGCAGATACTAAATATAGGCTAAATCTTAGACAAATTAACAGAAGTACCCCCTCTATTCACCTATGTACCTCAGTTCCTTAGTTCCTATTAACTAAACAGTATATTAACTTGAAAATATTACAAGACTTGCTAAATGGCAAAAAAAAAAAAAAAAATCGGAGACACAAAAAAGGTTCAGAACCAGACTCAGCTATGACACAGATGATGAAGTTATAAGATAAATATTTTAAATTATGATTAGTTGGTCAAGGGCTGGATATGGTTTGGCTGTATCCCCACTCAAATCTCTAATTGCAGCTCCCATAATTTCCATGTGTCATGAGAGGGACCCAGTGGAAGGTAATTAAATCATGGGGACAGGCCTTTCCAAGGCTGTTCTTGTGATAGTGAATAAGTCTCATGAGATCTGATGGTTTTATAAAGGGGAGTTCCCCTGCACACGCTCTCTCTTGCCTGCCACCACTTAAGACACGACTTTCTCCTCCTTTGCCTTCTGCCGTGATTGTGAGGCCTCCGCTGCCATGTGGAACTGTAAGTCTGTTAAACCTCTTTTTCTTTATAAATTACTCAGCCTCGGGTATGTCTTTATTAGCAGTGTGAGAACAAACTAATATGGGGCTCTAACAAAAAAATTAACAAAGTTTAAAAACAAATGGGCAATGCAAGCAGACAGCAAGATGAAAACTCTAACAAGGTTTTAAAAGGAAATACTAGAAATAAAAAGTATACTAACAGAAGTAAAGGGTGCCTTTAACAGGCTCATTAGTAGATTTGACAGGACCAAGGAAAGAGTCAGTGAACCTGAAGATAGGTCAATAGAAACTTCCCAAACAGAAATGCAAAGCGAAAAAAAGAATGGGGAAAAACATGATAGAACATGAAATCATTTTAGGACAATTTTAAAAGGTGTAACATGGGTATGACTTAAATACCAGTAGTGAATATCTTGAGATGAAGAGAGAAATGTTAACTGTAGAAGGGAAAGAATTGGAAGTTACACATCTATTGGAAGCAATGTAAACAAGAAGAGAGTAGAATAGAACGCTTATCTTCTTAAAAGAAAAAAATACCCCACCAACCTAGATCTATAGCTATACCTACAGAAATTGTGCTTTAAAATTAAAGGAGAAATAAAGACTCATTCAGACTAACACAAACTAATTACCAGCAGATCTTTCTACAATAAAGTTACACGTTCTTCAAATGGAAAGAAATGATACAGGTAAGAGACTTGGATCTACATAACGCTACAAAATGTATATGCCTTTAACAATAGAACATGAAAATAAATGACACGTTGCGGGGCCAAGGTGGGTGGATCACCCGAGGTCAGGAGTTTGAGACCAGCCTGGCCAATGTGGCAAAACCCCATCTCCACTAAAATACAAAAATTAGCTGGGCGTGGTGGCACATGCCTGTAATCCCAACTACTCAGGAAGCTGAGGCAGGAGAATCACTTGAACTCAGGAGGTGAAGTTTGCAGTGAGCTGAGATCACGCCACTGCACTCCAGACTGGGCAACAGAGTGAGGCTTTGTCTCAAAATACATACATACATACATACATACATAAAAGGAGAAATTGATAATTCCACTATTATAATTAGAGACTTCGGCACCCCTTAGTCAGTGTTCAATAGATCAAGCAGGCAGAAAATCAGTAAGAATACAGGGGATTTGAAAAGCACCATCAATGAATTTAATCTAATTGACATTTGTAGAATATCCCATTCAACAGGAGCAGAATATACATTCTCAAGCTTGCATACAATATTCACCAATATAAATAAAGCCCATCCTGGGTCATAAAAGACCCTTCAGCCAATTAAAACTGTGGAAATTATACAAAGTATGTACTTTCTGTGCAATGGAGTTAAACTGAAAATCAGTAACAGAAAGATATTTGGAAAATCCAAAAATAAATAGAGATTAAGCAACATATTTCTAAATAAGATATAGATAATAAGATATTAAGTAAATAAGATAATCTGAAGATAAAAGAAAAATATAGTGTGCTAAATGGAATCAAAAGTACAACAGAACATTTGTGAGCTCCTGCAAAAACAGTGCCTAGATAGAAATTTATAGCACTAAACTTATAAATTAAAAATAATTAAGATCTAAAATTAACAACTTAGCCTCTTTCTCAGGAAAGTGAGGGAAAAGACTTAATAAAGCTTAAAGCAAGCAGAAGAAAATAAAAAAATCAAGCAATATTCAATGATTTTAAAACAAAAACAATGTAAAAAATCAAGGAAATTAAAACATTGTTTTTTGAAAAGATCAATAAAATAAATAAACCTCTAGCCAGGATAACCATGACGAGAGAGAAAGACATAAATTATTGAAATCAGTTATGAAAGAGGAGGCATCACTACTAATAATTTCAGGGATTTTAAAGGACTAATAAAGGAATATTGTGAACAATTACATTCCCATACATTTGATAACTTAAATGGACCCATTTCTTAAAAGACATAAACAATCAAAACTCATATTAGGAGAAATATTAATATAAGCAGCTCTATACTTGCCAAATAAATCGAATCAAAAAGTAATAAGCTTTAAAAATAAAAAAACACCAGATCCAAATAATTTCATTGCTGCATTCTATCAGACATTTATGAAGAAATAATACCAATTTTCCTCAGAAATGGAGCAAAAGGAATACTTCCTGACTTATTCTATGAGGCTACAATTATCTTAATTCCAAAATTGTCTTAATTCCAAATTATTTTAATACAAAAATCAGATAAAGACATTACAGGAAAAGAAAACTACATACCAATCTTTCTCATGCATACAGACATAAAAGTCCTCTACAAATTATCAAACCAAATCCAATAATGTATGACAATCATTACACACCATAATCAAGCAGGATTTATTCCAGGTATTCAAGACAGGTTCAACATTAGTAAATCACTAATGTAATCCACAGGCTAAAAAAGAAAATTGCATAAGCATATAATTTGACATTAAAATCATCTGAAAAAATTCAACGTCCATTCATAATAAAACTCTTGGAGTACTAGGAATAGACAGAAGTTCTCGACTTGATTTTTAAAATATATAAAAATCTTATAGTTAATATGATACTTAATAGTGAGAAACTCTTTCTCTTCTGGACTGGGAACAAAGCAATGATGTCCTCTTTCACAATTCCTATTCAACATCCTACAGATATTATTGTCTATATAGAAAACTCAAAAGTATCTACCCTACCCAAATCTCTGCCCAGGAAAACAAAACAAAACAAAACTGAAATAAATAAGGAAAAATAACAAGGTCAATATACAGAAGTCAGTTGTTCCTCTATATACCAGCAATGAATAATTGAAATTTGAAAATTAAAAAAAAACACAAAATACATAGTAGCACCAAAATACAGTATTAACAAAATAAATATGTGGAAACTATGAAACACTGATGAAAAAATTAAATATTACTAAATAGATTGGAAGACACAAGATTGGTTAAACGTCAGTCCTATCCAACTTCATCTGTAGACTCCTTGCACACATTGTCAAAATTCCAGCAAACTATGAGTAAATATGGACAAACTGATTGTAAAATGTGTATGGAAAGACAAAATATCAAGAATAATTAACACAATATCTAGAAAGAACAAAGTTGGAAGACCCCCACTACCTGATTTTAAGACATTGTAAAACTTACAGAAATCAAGACAACATGGTTTTGATGAAAGAATAGACACACAACTGTGGAACACAGAGAGAGCCCAGAAATAGACTGATAAAAATATAGCTAAGTGATTTTTGACAAATGAGCAAAGGCACTTCAATGGAGAAAGTATGGTGTTTTCAAAAAACTACTGGAACAATTGGACTTGGACACTCATGCAAAAACAAATAAATCAATCTAGGCATAGAATCCACACCTTATACTAAAATTAAACTGAATCATTAACTTGAAAATGCAAAACTTGAAAACTTCTAGAAGAAAACAAAGGAGAAAAAACTTATTTATGTGACCTCTGGTTTGGTGATGAGACTTTAGATTCAACACAACAATTTCAATAGTAAAGGGGAAAATGATGTTAGAATCGATTAAAATGTAAACTTCTGACAAATGAAGTACAGAGTTAAGAGATTGAAAAGTTAAACCACAGACTAGGAGAAAATATTTGAATAACATATATCTGACAAAAGATCTGTGTATAAACTACAGAAAGAACTCTTAAAACTCCATAATAAAAAATGAACAACACAACTAAACAATTGGCAAAAATTTAACTATCCACATCAGCAACATGATATCAATAGATAAACAGTTAGATGATAGATAAAAAATAACCATTAAAAAATATATCCAGGCTGGGCGTGGTGGCTCACACCTGTAATCCCAGCACTTTGGGAGGCCGAGGCAGGTGGATCACGAGGTCAAGAGATAGAGACCATCCTGGCCAACATGGTGAAACCCCGTCTTTACTAAAAATACAAAAAGTTAGCCGGGCGTGGTGGTGGGCGCCTGTAGTCCCAGCTACTCGGGAGGCTGAGGCAGGAGAATCACTTGAGCCTGGGAGGCAGAGGTTGCAGTGAGCCAAGATTGTGCCACTGCACTCCAGCCTGGTGACAGAGCGAGACTCCATCTCAAAAAAAATAAATAAATAAAAAATTTAAAAAAAAAGATTTCCAACATCATTTGCCATTAGAACCACAAATAAAAACAAAAACTAAATAACACTACATAGAATGGCTAACATTAAACAAAACAAAACATACAGAAAATATTAATTGGTGAAGACCCAACTGGAACTTTCATTAATTGGTGGTGAGATTTCAAAACGGGACTTTGAAGTGGTGGGATTTCACAGCCACTTTAGAAAGCAGTTTGGCAGTTTCTTTTTTTTTTTTTTTGAGACAAAGCCTCACTCTGTCGCCCAGGCTGGAGTGCAGTGGCACACTCTCAGCTCATTGCAACCTCTGCCTCCTGGGTTCAAGCAATTCTCCTGCCTTAGCCTCCTGAGTAGCTGGGATTACAGGCAGGTACCACCACGCCTGGCTAATTTTTGTATTTTTAGTAGAGACGGGGTTTCTCCATGTTGGTCAGGCTGGTCTCGAACTCCTGACCTTGTGTTCAACCCACCTCGGCCTCCCAAAGCGCTGGGATTACAGGTGTGAGCCACCGCACCCGGTTATCGGCAGTTTCTTACAAAGCTAAGCATAGTATTACCATAACATCCAGCAATCACACGTTTTGGTATTCTCCCAACTTATTTGAAAACTTATGTTCATATAAATGCTTGTAAGCAAAATTTTATAGCCGCTTTATTCATAATTGCCAAAACTTGGAGGCAACAAAGATGTCCTACAATAAGTTGATGGACAACTATGGTACACCATACAGTGGAATATTACTCATAGATAAAAAGGAATGAGCTACCAAGTCATGAAAATACATGGATACATATTATATGTTTATTTTTCATTGAAAGAAGACAGCATGAAAAAATTATATCCTTTATAATTACATTTCTGTGTCAAGACAGAACCGTGCAGATGGTAAACAGAGCAGTGTTTGGCAGGGTTCAAAGTACAGTCGGGTTAACTTGGTGAAGCTAAGGGGATTACTTTAGAGTGTGAAAATTATTCTGTAGGAGCCTGATGTGGACACACGGCATGGTGAATTTGTCAAAACACATAGACCTTTACACACAGAGTGACTATTAATGTATGCAAATTTAAAATATATATTTAGAAGATTGGAGGTTCTCAGTACGACATGGAGAGTGTGACAAAAGGATCTTACTATGTATACTATTAAAATCTCACTAAAGGGAATCAGTGCTGACCTAAGCAACTTTGGAAATCATTTGTGGTTAATAAGGGTATTCCCTGTAAATGTATGGCTAAGGAGTTCTGAACCCACTGTACATGTACACCAGAACTGAGTAAATAAATGGATCACAGATGGTGACAGCCATGTTTTGTGACTGCTGGAGTGGGAGATTACAGATAAGCAAGAAAAAAAGCTAGGATGATCAATGTGGTGGTGAATTTTAGTTGGAGACCTTAATATTACCCCATGTTTAGCTTAATATAGTTACATATGGATACATATACATTCCTGTATTACTTAGTGACAGGGATACATTCTGAGAAATGCATTTCATCATTGTGCAAAAATCATGGAATATACTTACACAAACTAGGTGGTGTAGCCTACTACACATGTAGGCTATATGGTATAGCCTATTCCTCCTAAGCTACACATCTGTACAGTGTGTTACTGCACCGAATACTGTAGGCAACTGTAACACAATTGTGAGTATTTGTGTATCTAAATGTATCAACCACAGAAAAGGTAATGCATTGCCTTATGACGTTACCATGTCTACAATGTGAGTAGGCGCTAAGAATTTTTCAGCTCCATTATAATCTTATGGGTCCACCATCATAAATGCAGTTGGTCACTGACCAAAACATCATTGGATATCAGCTAATAGATTCCAGAAGCAAAGACCCTTGTTCACAACCAGTCTACCTAGAGCCCAGATCCTTTCTAGTACTATTTTTTTTTTTTTTTTTGAGACAGTCTTGCTCTGTCGCCCAGGCTGGAGTGCAGTGGCGTGATCTCAGGTCACTGCAACCTCCACCTCCTGGGTTCAAGTGATTCTCCTGCCTCAGCCTCCTGAGTAGCTGGGACCACAGGCACCCGGCACCATGCCTGGCTAATTTTTGTAGTTTTAGTAGAGACGGGGTTTCACCATGTTGGTCAGGGTGGTCTCAAACTCCTGACCTCAGGCGATCTGCCCACCTCAGCCTCTTAAAGTGCTGGGATTACAGGTGTGAGCCACTGCGCCCAGTCTAGTACCATTTTCCAATAAAAAGAAACCAGGGCTCTTGGAAGAAATGCCTGATTGTAGGAATGGACAGAGAGGATACATGGTAAGTCTATAGTATTGCATAGTGCCAGAAAGGAAGAAAGCACTAAACATGTACACACATACATAAATACATAAATAAATAAATCCCACAATAATATGTCTAAGGGACATAGGATCCAACTGCAAAAGCTCCCAATGTTCAAAGTTGAAACAAATTGAATGACAAAAATCAGTAAAGTAGTAGTGGATTATAACCCAAAGTATAAAATAAATATGCGTGAGTCCATACTGCTACAAATAAATGATCAGGTAATTTAAACTGGGAGAGAATAGACAAATCTTCTATGCAGAATAATTCCAAATAATATCTGAGGATATTCTGCCCTCAAGGTAGTGGAACATAAGGTGGACCACGCATAGTGACTTTATTCCAAAGATTACAGTACGAATAGGTGAAAAAAGAATAACTTTTCAGTGGAGAAATCAGATAAATACTACCCCAACCCTGTGATCAAGGATAACAGTATGCCATGACAAAGAAATCACATTGATAGAATGTATGCTTGTTATAATGGATTAAAATGGCATTCTACCTCTGTAGTCTTCCGCCCAGAGACTCAGAGCCTCAGTCTAATCATGAGAAAATCATTAAGCAAATACCAACTAAAGATTGTTCTATAAACTATCTGACCAGTGCTTTTCAAAAGGACAAGGTAATCAAGAACAAGGATAGTTTGAGAAACTGTTGCAGATAACAGGAGCGTAAGGAGACAGGGTGACTAAATGCAGTGTGGTTTTCTGTTAAAAAGGACATTACATAAAAACTAAGGAAATTTAAATAATATGTGAATATTAGCTAATAATACTATATCTATGTTGGCTCATTAATTGAGACAAATGCAACATACTAATATAAGAATCTTTTTTTTTTTTTTTTTTTTTTTTGTAGACAAGGTCTTCCTCCTTTTCCTCCTTCACCCAGGCTAGTGTGATCATAGCTCACTGCAGCCTTGGCCTTCTGGGCTCAAGTGACCCTCCTGCCTCAGCCTCTTGAGTAGCTAGGATTGCAGGCTTGTCCCACCATGCCTGGACAGGTTTTTATTATTTATGTATTTATTTATTTAAGTAGACATCAGGTCTTGCTATATTGCTCAGGCTGGTCTCTTAACTCCTGAACTCAAGCAATCCTCCTGCCTCAGCCTCCCAAAGCACTGGGATTACAGGTGTGAGTCAGTGCACCTGGCTAAGAAGTTAATAATAGGGAAAACTGGGTGCAAAGTACATGAAAACTCTCTGTGTGGCTGGGCATGGTGGCTCACACCTGTAATCCCAGCACTCTGGGAGGCCGAGGTGGGTGGATCATTTGAAATCAGGAGTTTAAGACCACCCTGGCCAAGGTGGTGAAACCTTGTTTCTACTAAAAATACAAAATTAGCCAGGTGTGGTGCCGGGCACCTTTAGTCCCAGCTACTCGGGAGGCTGAGACAGGAGAATCGCTTGAACCTGGGAGGTGGAGGTTGCAGTGAGCTGAGATCATGCCACCACTGCACTCCAGCCTGGTGACAGAGGAAGACTCTGTCTCAAAACAAACACACAAACAAACAAACAAACAAAAACAAAAAAAACAAAGGCCAGGTGCAGTGGCTCATGCCTGTAATCCTAGCACTTTGGGAGGCCGAGGTGGGCAGATCACGAGGTCAGGAGTTCGAGACCAGCCTGACCAACATGGTGAAATCCCGTCTCTACTAAAAAATACAAAAATTATCTGGGTGTGGTGGCATGCACCTGTAATCCCAGCTACTCAGGAGGCTGAGGCAGGAGAATCCCTTGAACCCAGGAAGTGGAGGTTGCAGTGAGCTGAGATCGTGCCACTGCACTCCAGCCTGGGCAACAGAGCAAGACCCTGTCTCAAAAAACAAACAAACAAACAAACTCTCTGTGCTATCTTAGTAACTTTTCTGTGAATCTAAAACTTCTAAAATAAAAAAAAATAAAACATAAAAAGTTATTGACGGTTAAATTATCTCAAAATACATACGTATAAGACATCTATATTTGCATTTTACTACCAAAAGTTATACATAAATTAACATAACATGAGGTTTTATGTCATTGTGTAAACTTGAAATATTATCTGACAGTCTGAAGCACATGTTTGGTATTGTGAGTTTTTTATTCCAAGTTCATGTTGAGGTGAAAATTGAAAATTCAATTGGACAAAGCTCTCTTTAATATGACAGCAAAAGTATAGGCACATATATATATATATACACACATATAAATGAGAGTGTCTATATAGGTGTGTGTCTGTGTATGTATACGTGTGTGTGTGTGTGTACTGGACTTCACACCAAAATAAAAAACTTTCTGGTTCCAAAAACACCATAAGGAAAGTGAAAAGAAAACCTACAAAACGGGAGAGAATTTTTGCAGATCATGTGGTTGATAAGAGAATTGTGTCTAAGCTATATAAAGAACTCGTACCACTCAATAATGAAAAGACATAAAGTCTAATTTTCAAAATGGGCAAAGGTTTCGAATTGACATTTTTTAAAGAATATACATAATTGGCCAAAAAACAAATGAAAAGACATTCAACATTATTAATCAAAGAAATGGAAATGAAAACCACAGTGAAATACCACTTTATAACCACTAAGATGTCAGTAAACAAACAAAGACGATAACAAGCGTTGGCAAGAATGAGAATGTAGCGACACTGCAACTCTGGTATGCTGATGGCAGGAATGTACAACGGAGCAGCCGCTTTAGAAAACAGACAAGATTTTCCTCAAAAAGCTAACCACAGAATTACCGTATGACCCAGCAGTTCTACTCCTACCTATACACCCAAAAGAAATAAAAACAAATATTACCAAAAAAGCTTTTATGTGAATGTTCATAGCAGCATTATGAATGGAAAAATAAAATGAGAGTATATCCACATAATGGATTATTGAGAATATTATTCAGAAATAACATTGAGAATATTATTCAGAAATAATGTTCCATTGCTATTAATAATGTTACAATTTACAATAATAATAATTATAATTAATAATTATTGTCTAACTAATAATATTCCATTATTCCAAATGGATATACTCACATTTTATTTTTCCATTCATAATGCTGCTATGAACATTCACATAAAAGCTTTTTTGGCAGTATTCGTTTTTATTTCTTTTGGGTATATAACTAGGAGTAGAAACAGAAATAAAGTACTGAAACATGCTAGAAGATGAATGAACCTTCAAAATACTTTGTCATTAAAAAATAAACCATTTACAAAGGACCACATATTGCATGATTCCGTTTATATTAAACACCAGAATTGGCAAATCTATACAGAAGTGCTTTAGTGGTTGCCTAAGGCTGGGAGGGATGGGAAATTTTGGGATGAGGGTGACGGCCAAAGTGTACAGGGTTTTTTTTCTGGGTAATGAAAGGGTTCTAAAATTGATTGTGGTGATGTCTGCATAACTCTATGAATACACTAGAAGTCATTTACTGCACACTTTAGATGGGTGAATTGGATATGTGAATTATTTCTCAGTTAACAAACCTGTCTGAAAACACAGTCATGACAAATGTGCCCATTTCATATTTATAAGAGTCACTGTCACAAAGTTAAATGCTATACATAGAATTCGATACTCAGAACACTAAAAAAATTCAGTTAAGAAGATAGAGTCTTTGGAACTAGACATCAGAAAACTTAACTTTACCCTCTTCATCTGACTGATGGAGAACTGATATTCAGGGAGTTGAAGTGATTTTCCTTTTCACACCAGTAACGGAAGCATAGTCAAGAGGGCTGGGCTCGGTGGTTCACACCTGTAATCCCAGCACTTTGGGAGGCTGAGGCGGGCAGATCACTTGAGGTCAGGAGTTCAAGACCAGGCTGGCCAAAATGGCGAAAGCCTTTCTCTACTAAAAATACAAAAATCAGCCGGGCATGGAGGCTGCACCTGTAATCTCAGCTACTCGGGTGGCTGAGGCACAAGAATGGCTTGAACCCGGGAGGCGGAGGTTGCAGTTAGCCAAGATTGCACCACTGCACTCCAGCCTGGGTGACAGAGATAGAATGTATCCCCCCCGCCAAAAAAAAAAAAAGAAAGAAAGAAAAGAGAAACATGTTTAGTAACTAGATCCCCACTGTCCTGATTTCTTTTCTAGGGCTCTTGATTTTTGTCATACACGAGTATTCTTTGGGACTTTATTTTCAATCAGCTACCCAGATTACCACTAAGTTGATTTAGGAGCTAATTTAGTTAAGTTACTTCTTGTTCTCCGGCTTCATTTATTAGAAATAGGCGTATATGAATTGGTATGCCCCAACATCCATTTTTAGCTGTGAAAAATATGAGGAAGAAATATTTATTGAATGGTTTACCAGAGTCATTTTAAATATGCAATGATTTATGATAGATGGTATTGAGATGCTATTAACTGTAATTTAATGAATTTAAATTGTTATATTTCAGTGTGTGGCTAAATAGTAATTTAAGTCTGAATTTCAAGTAGTAAACTATTACAAACACTATTTCGGCTGCGGCTGTAAATTGTAGCCTGTGTCTAACCTGATGTTCCAGTTATTTCATTCTTAACTGTCCTGATCCTGTGGATTCTGGAGACTGAAGTCCTCATGCATAATGATAAGGACCTTAGAAGATAGAAGGAAATAAATAGGAAACCTCATGTTTTTTAATGTAGTCTTTATTAAGCAAAAGACTCTATTTTGATAAAAGGACTGAAATTACTTCTACTTTGAGGTGTCAAACTGAGAAAGGTTTTCCTTTTTCCTCTCTTTTTGTTCAAAACTGTAAGTTTATATTAATTACTTCATAGATTGCTTTAATTAGATTTTAAATGAGGCATTCTGGTGAGTTTTTACAAATACTACTATTAGCAGTCTTTATGTGGCCGACTTGAATCTTATAAATTACTGGAAATCATAATGTAATAATAAATACTACTGCTTCCTCAATCATAGCTGAAATTCAGGCACAGTAATAAATATGAACTGACATAATTAAAGTTTGAGAATAATTATGAATCTTAAAGTCTCTTTTCTCTAGTCGTTCATATTTGCTCATTGAAGCAATACTATTGAATAGGTGGAGCTGATAACTAGAGATGTTATGTCAACAAATAGGAATATCAGAATTATTCCAGAAAAATGAGCACATTCTAGTGTTCATGTCATCATCGTCTCTTGAAGACAAAGTCCCAATTTTACAGTCTTTGTATCACAAAACCCCTTCATCTTTCAAAAATGTTTCTACCTTGTGTCTTCAAATTTTTGTAGGTTTTATATAATTTATCTATGATGAATCATTGGAGCTCACTGAGTCTCAAAATCCTATCTAAATTTAGACTCTTAAAAACTCATAGACAGTAAACAATACATTTGAGTGGCAATGCTCTCTAGCAAATATAGCACTTCATAACTAGATAATATTTCTTCAAGGTATGGAAGTGCTCTTTTGTAGGAAAGCCATAAGTGTTAACCTAGCCATTAACTAGTTAGTGTAACTAGCTGGTGTATGTTATAAGGAAGCTCTAGGATTTTTGTAGCTCTATAAGTACTTATTTTTATTTTATTTTATTTTTTGAGACGGAGACTTGCTATGTTGCCTAGGCTGACCTCCAACTTCTGGGCTCAAAGGATCTTCCTGCCACACAGCCCCCAAGTAGCTGAGAATACAGGAGTATGCCCACAGGGGCTGGCGTGAAAGCCCAGATTAATAGTAGACTGAAAAGAGTGAGGGTTTTAAAGTTAAAACAAAATAAAACACTAACCTTGTATTCAAATTTTGCTTGTGTGTTTTAGTGGCTGTTTGGCTTTGGGTCAATTACAAAATCATTTTGCCTGCATAGATGCTAATAATAAAAGGCATCATACAATAAGTAAAATAAATAAAAGATGAATACCCAGAAAGTTTTTAAAGAGGGAGGGATCGTATTTAGTAACAGAAAGACTTCCTATCCTTCCTGATTCAAAATACGTGTTCTGAGATGCTTATTCCACAAAATTTTCTATGATAAAATAAGTTTCAGGTATGTTCCATGTTATATTCCACCATATTATTTCACTTTAGAACATTTTAAACTATAAGAAATGCTTTCACATGGAAACATCTTTAACGAAGAATTTCCAAAATTACTTGGCAACAGAAACTATTTTTCATGTAGCATGTATTAGTATCTCACAGCATATGGCTCATGAAATATTGCCCCAACTTGCTCTTTTTGAAACACTGATAATACACCACCTGAAAATGGCGACAGACTTTAAATGGTATCATTGTTCATGTTAATACAGTCTGGGAGAAGCACAGTTGAAACTCCCATTGATCATAGAGTACACTATGAATTCCAAGGATAATTTGATCTGAAGAGACACTGGTTCATATCTTGTGGTGAATGAAGATTTACGTATTCTTTATAGTACACATCATGGAAGAATATTGTTGCCTTTTATAAAATTGGGCATTTCCATAACCTATACAATAAAGGGAGGGAAAATATATAGTAAATTCTACTATCTTTCTAGTGTGTTTTTCCATGTGATAGAAAGAACCATATATCTATGTACCCTTTTTACATGATTAATTACATTTGTATAGTAGATCTGTGTACTCTTACAGTACATAAATACAAATGTTTCTTATCCGAAGGTAACTATCTGCGTGGTTTGTGTTTGCCCAAAATTTACACACTAAAGTTCTAATCCTCCTCAGCATGTGATAATACTTGGAGAAAAGGACTTTAACGATAAAATCAAGGTTAAATGAGGTCATTACACTGAACCCTAAACCAATTTGACTTGTGTTCTTATAAGAAGAGGAGATTAGGATACAGACACATACACAGGGAAGGTGATGTGAAGACACTAGGAAGCTGGCCATCTATGTGCCAAAGAAGAAGGCCTCAGAAGAAACTAATTTTTTATGACATCTTTATCTTGGACTTCTAGCATACAAAATTTTGAGAAAGTAATTTTTGGTTGTTGTTAAAGCCATCCAGTCTGTGGCATTTGTTATACCAGCTCTAGCACACTAATACACATTCAATGTAAAAAACAAATACTCTACCATATCAAATCTAACATAAGAAGAAAATTTTAATTACAGTTTGACCCTTGAACAACATGGGGGTTAAGGCTGAACCTTTGCACAGCTGAAGATCCACATATAACTTTTGACTCCCCCAACTATTAGTATCTTCCTATTTACCAGAAGCCTTACCAATAATGTAAAGAGTTGATTAACATATCTTGTGTACGTATAATATACTGTATTCTTATATTTAATTATTCTTTTTTTTTTTGAGATGGAGTCTTGCTCTGTTGCCCAGGCTGGAGTGTAGTGGCACAATCTCAATTCACTGCAACCTCCGCCTCCTGGGTTCAAGTGATTCTCCTGCGTCAGCCTTCCGAGTAGTTGGGATTACAAGAGCCTGCCACCACACCCGGCTAATTTTTGTATTTTTAGTAGAGAAAAGGTTTCACCATGTTGGCCAGGCTGGTCTCGAACTCCTGACCTTGTGCTCCACCCACCTCAGCCTCCCTAAGTGCTGGGATTACAGGCGTGAGCCACCACGCCCGGCCTAATTATTCTTTTAAAAAGGATCCTGGTTATCTATCATATACTCTATTTCTTTATATACAATAAAGCAAGCTAGAGAAAAGACAATGTTATTAAGAAAATTGTAAGAAAGGAAATGCATTTACTATTTGGAAGTTGATCATCATAAAGGCCTTCATTCTTAGTGTCTTCACATTGAGTAGGCTGAGGAGGAGGAGGAAGAAGAGGGGTTGGTCTTGCTGTCTCAGGGGTAGCAGAGGCAGAAGACACGGAGGAGATGGAAGTGGAACCAGGAGAGGCAGGCATACTTGGTGTAACTTTTATTTAAAAAAATCCACATATAGTTGGACCCATGCAATTCAAAGCCATGTTGTTCCAGGCTCAACTGTAGTTACTTAAAAAAACTAACTGGAACAAGACAACGATGCCCACTCTCACTTCTATTCAACATAGTACTGAAAGTCCTAGTGTGTCCGGAATTGGTTCCTTCCGGTGGGTTCTTGGTCTCGCTGACTTCAAGAATGAAGCCGTGGATCCTCGCGGTGAGTGTTAACAGTTCTTAAAGATGGTGTGTCCGGAGTCTGTTCCTTCAGATGTGCCTGGAGTTTCTTCCTTCAGGTGGGTTCGTGATTTTGCTGCCTTCAGGAGTGAAGTGGCAGACCTTTGCAGTAACTGTTACAGCTCTTAAAGGTGGCACGTCCAGAGTTGTTTGTTCCTCCCGGTGGGTTTGTGGTGTTGCTGACTTCAGGTGTGAAGCTGCAGACCTTCACAGGGAGTGTTATCGCTCTTCAAAGTGGCATGTCCAGAGTTGTTTGTTCCTCCTGGTGAGTTCGTGGTGTTGCTGACTTCAGGAATGAAGCCTCAGACCCTCGCGGTGAGCATTACAGCTCATACAGGTAACGTATTACAGCTCATAAAGGTAGTGTGGACCCAAAGAGTGAGCACCAGCAAGATTTTTCGTGAAGAGCCAAGGAACAACGCTTCCACAGTGCAGAAGAAGACCCGAGTGATTGCTGCTGGCTGTCGGGGGTGGCCAGCTTTTATTCCCTTATTTGTTCCCTGCCCACGTCCTGCTGATTGGTCCATTTTACAGAGTGCTGATTAGTCCATTTTACAGAGTGCTGATTGGCCCATTTTACAGAGTACTGATTGGTCCATTTTACAGAGTACTGATTGGTGCGTTTTTACAAAGTGCTGATTGGTGCATTTACAATCCTTTAGCTAGACACAAAGCACTGATTCATGTGTTTACAATCCTCTAGCTAGACAGAAAAGTTCTCCAAGTCCCCACCTGACCCAGACGCCCAGCTGGCTCCACCTCTCACTAGCTGCAGCAACCTGGCAAGATAAATTTTAAAAAGGCATCCAAATAGAAAGAGAGGAGGTCAAACTACCTCTCTTTACAGACATTATGATTCTATAGCTAGAAAACCCTGGAGTCTCTGCCAAAAGGCTCCTAGAACTGAGAAACAATTTCAGTAAAGTTTCAGGGTACAAAAATCAATGTGCAAAAATTAGTAGCATTTCTATACATCAATAACATCCAAGCTGAGAAAAAATCAAGAACACAATCCCATTCACAACAGCCACAAAAAGAATAAAATAGGAATATAGCTAAGCAGAGAGGTAAGAAATTTCTACAGTGAGAATTACAAAACACTGCTGAAGAAATAAGAGATGACACAAGCAAATGGAAAACTTTCCATGCTCTTGAGGGAGGATCAATATTGTTGAAATGGCCATACTGCCGAGAGCAATTTATAGATTTAATAGTATTCCTATCAAACTACCAATGACATTTTTCACAGAATTAGAAAAAACTATTCTAAAATTTATATGGAACCAACTAAGAGCCCAAATAGTCAAAGAAATCCTAAGCAAAAAGAACAATGCCAGAAGCATCACACTACCCATATTCAAACTATTCTATAAGCCTACAGTAACCAAAATAGCATGGTACTATTACAAAAACAGACATATAGACCAATGGAACAGGTTAAAGAACCCAGAAATATAGCTACATCCCTACAACCATCTGATCTCTGACAAAGTCAACAATAACAAGCAATGGGGAAAGGATTCGTTGTTCAATAAATGGTGCTGGGATAACTGGGAAGCCATATGCAGCCGATTGAAACCAGACTCCTTCCTTTCATCATATACAAAAATCAACTAGAGATGGATTAAAGACTTAAATCAAAAACCTAAAATTATAGAAGCCCTAGAAGAAAACCTAACAACTATCATTCTGGATATAGGCCTCAGCAAAGATTTAATGATGAAGTCTTCAAAAGCAATTGCAACTAAAACAAAAATAGACAAATGGGACATAATTAAACCAGCCAGCTTCTGCACAGCAAAAGAAACTATCAAAGAGTAAACAGAAAACTTATAGAATGAGAGAAAATATTTGCAAACTTTGCATCCAACAAAGGTTTAACGTTCAGAATATATAAGAAACTTAACAAGCAAAATCAGACAACCTCTGAAAAAATATGAGCAAAGGACTTGAATAGACACTTCTACAAAGAAGACATACACATGGTCAAAAAAACAAATTTAAAAATGCTCAGCATCACTAATCATTAGAGAAATGCAAATCAAAGCCACAATGAGCTATCCTCTCACACAAGTCACAATGGCTATTATCAAAGGGCCAAAACAAAAACAAAAACAAACCACAAAAGAAAACAGATGCTGGTGAGGTTGTACAAAAAAAGGAACTCTTAGGCACTGCTGGAGGGAGTGTAAATTAGTTCAGCCATTGTGGAAAGCAGCTTGGGGATTTCTCAAAGAACTTAACACAGAACTACCATTTGATCCAGCAATCCCATTACTGGGCTGCAAAGAAATATACGTTGTTCTACCAAAAATATACACACACTCATATGTTCATCACAGCACTAGTCACAAGAGCCAAGACATGAAATCAAACTAGATGCCCATCACTGGTGGACCGGATTAAAAAATGTGGTGCATATAGTCATAAAAAAGAATGAAATCACGGTTTTTGCAGCAACGTGTATGCAACTGAAGGCCATTATCCTAAGCAAATTTATGCCAAACAGAAAACAAATATTGTATGTTCTCACTTAGAAGTGGTAATTAAACATTGAGTACACATATACACAAACGGGAACAACAGACACTATGGGCTACTTGGGCATGGAGGCTGGGAGGAGTGTGAGAGTCAAAAAACTACCTGTAAGTACTATGCTTACTTACCTGCGTGACAAAATCATTTGTACACCAAACCCCAGCTACCTGCAGTTTACCCACTTAACAAACCTTCACATGTACACCCTGAACCTAAAATAAAATTTGAAAAAGGGGAAAATAATAATAAAACAAACACCTGTATCAGTTAAAAGATTAAAACAATCTATCCCATGCAAAGTATACAAAGTTAACACAGTAGCAGCACCATTATTCTTCACATCAACCATCTCCTCTCTATGAAGACCAGCCTGTGCATTATCAGCCCTAGGACTTCAGGTCCCTTTTGAACCCGTTAAACTATGCACAGCTGGGTATCTCAAACTAATCCTGGACTATGGAACAAAACTGATTTCTGATAAAATATTTCATAGAAAGCAAATTCATTGACAGCCATTTCGTAACTTACAGGTGTTTATTGAACTGCTAATTAAAATGGTACCATTTTGATAGACTAACATTCTCATAAACTTAGATCAAAACTTTGCAAATATCTATGTTCCTATTTATGCCTAACATTTTTATATAAAATTTCAAATGACAATATAGTTAGTGAAAATTAAATAGTCAATATATTTGACATTTTACCCCAGATTTAACCATGAGACAATTGAAACATGATTTGATTGATAATATTAAACATATACAGAACTTTTCAAGAATATGCCCTTGAAAGGCCAAGGTAGGCTTCTCATTGAAGATTTTCATATCAGATCTATAGGCCATTTAGCTTCCCCAATCTAAACTTCAGTTCATCTAATCTCATACTGAAAACCACACACTCATGATACAATAAATGACTCTCTATATCAAAAGCTTCATAATAAAAGCCTATAATATTACTGATGTTTATGTTACATAGTGTTGTTTAAAATTTTATCTTAATATTTTGAGTGTAATTGTTCACATTATCTTCAATTTATAAAACTCAGAATGGGAGTTTTATAAAAGTAAAATGTATAAAAATGTTTATAAATGTAAAATGTTTAAAAATGTAATATAAAAAATTAAAAATGGGGAATTTTTACACTTTCCAGAAATTAAGACTTGATATTTTAATGTAGCCATTATTCAACCTACTACAGCTTCTCTCACTAAAACAAAATTATAATACCCCTATATTAATGACATTATTGACTGTTGTTCAAAACTGTATGCGTCATTTTTTTAATTAGATAAAATGCACTAATTTCTAAATATTTACTGATTGCAATGTTTGGTGAGTTACAATTTTAAGCCTAATACATAACTTTCCTGCTCTATTAGGACTCTAATCTGTAATTCCCCCATTTTAAATTTATTTATGTTACATTTTTCCTGAACTTCAAAGTTTAGACAAACTGAAGGCTATAGTTGTGTGTATGTTTTTCCTGATTACTCCTCCTCCAAATTCCCTCAAGGATGCTAGAGGGAACTCCTACCTCATTTTCAAACCTTCTCATGTCATTACAAGCATATGTCTGTTTTTATAGAAAATATCTCACATAAATAACCAAGTTTTGTGCAGATCAAACCAGTTCAAACAAATACCACAACATTAAACATCCTTGGTTAGGAAAAAAATACCAAAAATCTATCACTGATCTACTTATTTCAAGTAGTTCTTAATATGACAAAATACAATACAATACAGAAAATTTGGCCAATTCCCTTCAAGCATATTATAATGAGATTTGACCTGCAATTTAGTGACATTTTATGTTATCAATCCTTCCCTAAGCCTTTCTCCCCAGTTCAATTTAACACCCAGTTTCGGTCTCATTTCATAAATATTATTTTCTCAGATTTGTTGCATTTGGCAAAAAGGCAGAAGATGCATTACTAGATTAAGAGGACTTTACACTCTAATTTGAAGGAGAGTGATGTAAAGATGAATCACTTTCACTCTAGCTCCTGCTTTGAAGGAGGCTGCTATTATAGAGGTGATAAAGTTATCCACCTACACACTTACACTATAATCACAGATAATTGACACAATAAATCTGAAAACAAAATACAACAGAGTGAGTAGCAAATTCTGACTGAAGGGATTGGGGAAGGCTTAATGGAAAGCTTTCCATTTCTTCTCCATCAGTTAAAATGCTTTTCGTGTGTCAAGATCTGTATCAAATATATCACCTCCTTCTGAAGGCTTCTCCAAGATCTTCAATCCAGTGACACTATGGCACTCTTTTTGCAAATAATTTTACATGTGACATAGGCCAGTTGGTATATAATGCATCATATTATACTTATTAGTGTGTTTGCCTGTTTTGGTTTTCTCTTCCTAGGATTTTAAGATTTTTGGAAAAAAAATTGTATCTTATTCACATTCCATCAAATATGCCAGCACACTGCCACGTTTGGTAAGGAATTATTAATAAATACATTAAACATACATTTACACATATATACGTCAATAAAGAATACCAGAGACTTCCACTTTTGCCCATGAAGGATTAAAA
This sequence comes from Homo sapiens, assembly GCF_000001405.40. Taxonomy (NCBI): domain Eukaryota; kingdom Metazoa; phylum Chordata; class Mammalia; order Primates; family Hominidae; genus Homo; species Homo sapiens. The sequence goes on along the minus strand of NC_000001.11, from coordinate 238,350,145 downwards.
GTTGACAGAATTACTCTCGACCCTTAGAAACTAGTAACCCAGGAAAAAATCATAGCAGGAGCTATGATTTCTGCCGTTGTTCCAGGCTACTGCATGAAGGAAGAAAACACAGGAGGAAATGGTGGTCTCTGTGATTTGAAGAGACAGGGAGCATTGTTCAGCAAGGTGAAAGGTATTAGATAAATGCATGAATGAAGGAACAAGTATTTGGCAGATGAGAAAGACACGCTTAGAGAAGCCACGTGACGCCCAATAAGCACGCTTACATTATGTTAAACAATTTCAAGTACATTATTTCATCAATGCTTTGAGGCATTAATCTTTTTCAGTTTCTGTTTTGCAAACCAGAAAAATAAAGCTCAGAGAGGACATGAACTGTTCAAATGTACAAAGAGGGTAAGAGAACATGATACGTTATTAAAACCAAATATCCTACTATCACGTTTATCCTCTGATGCTAAGGAAAATTAAACATTTAATTCCTCTTCATCTGACTCATCTTTCAATATTTGAAGACAAATTATCCTCTTTATTTATCTAGAAAAAATGTCCTCAATTATTTTCATCATATTAACTTTCTTGACAGGCACATCAAAATTCTGAATTTTAATAGGATTTGACAAACTAATATTCCTAAGGGCTTTTTACATATTGACTCAAGTGAAGTCAATATGCTCAAATGTTCAGCAGCATATATACAGGATGAGAGAAACTTAGCTTCCTGAGCAGTGGCAGTGTGTGAATAGGGCCTAATGCAAAAGATGATTATGGCATGTTGGGCGGCTGAGGGGGGCAGATCACTTGAGATCAGGAGTTCAAGACATGGCGAAGAAAGCTCATCTCTACCAAAAATACAAAAATTTGCTGGTCATGGTGGCAGGCGCCTGTAATCCCAGCTACTCGGGAGGCTGAGGCAGGAGAATCACTTGAACCCGGGAGGCAGAGGTTTCCGTGGCCGAGATCGCACCACTGAACTCCAGCCTGGGTGACAGAGAAAGAAAGACTCCAGCTCAAAAAAAAAAAAAAAAAAAAAAAAAAAAAAAAAAGATATGAACATTTAGCTCAATCTGAGACAGTTTTGTTGCCTGACTCCTAATAACATATGCTATAATTTATTGTAAGTAATAATTCTACTTCCTCTGAAAAGGTACAACTCTATGATTTTCATTTCTTTATAATATATAGAGAAACTGAAGTATAGGCAAAGAGTATTTATACAAACATAAAATATGAGTACAGATTTCATTTTAGGGATTACTGAAAAAGAATCAAGATATTTAACCTGATAAATGAAAAATCCAGAGAACAGTTAATATTTAATGTTAAATATTATATGTTAATATTTAATACTTAAAAGTGTTCTTATTTTGTATCCCTCTTTCAGATAGACATGTCTATCTGATAGACATTTACACTTATATCATCTTTGTCAATATTTCCAGGGATTCCCAATCTAGCTGAATCAACAGCTATATTTTATGGTAAATAAATAACTTTTTTTTTTTAGTTCTTCACAGGTAAAAGGAGTGTCAAAGTGAGAATTTGGGGTCAATGTAACAAACACCTTCCTCACAAAGGAGAAAAAGTTGTGATTTTGTTACTGGAAGTGTGAAAGCAGAGGCTGCATGATTTTTAGAGACGTAATGAAGGAAACCACTACATTTGTCTACTCTGATTTGAGATTCCTTAAGCCAGCCCAGAACACCCAGAGATGCCGACGTGCCCAGAGAGTAACAAATGTGAACCAACGTCACAAAGCCTCTTTGATCCAATGCAAGACAGCCTTCCTTTTCTGCTCCAAATATGCTGGGTTTCTCACTCCTGGCTCCAGCTCCCATTCAGAATGGTCCCTGTCTTTGTATTTGATATTAACATTTGCATTCCCAGAATTTGACTTCTTGTTCTCCTTCAGTCCTTTGGGCTGGGGCTAGTCCCGGTGGTTCTTTCCCCTCTGGAAAGTCCTTCATAAAGTATGATGCAGTCTCATGAGCCAGCACTTAAATGGGATTGTATTGACACTACTATATAGTAGATTGATTTAGGTAACTTACAAAGTCCCTACTCAGTGTAAGGTTCTATCATTTTATAGTTAGTATTCCTTGCATTTTACTGAAAATAGTTTTCAAATTCTTTTTTTTTTTTTCTTTTTTTTGAGACGGAGTCTCGCTCTGTCACCCAGGCTGGAGTACAGTGGCATGATCTCGGCTTACTACAAGCTCCACCTCCTGGGTTCATGCCATTCTCCTGCCTTAGCCTCCCGAGTAGCTGGGACTACAGGTGCCCGCCACCACGCCCGGCTAATTTTTTTTTTTTTTTTGTATTTTTAGTAGAGGCGGGGTTTCACCGTATTAGCCAGAATGGTCTCGATCTCCTGACCTCGTGATCCGCCCGCCTCGGCCTCCCAAAGTGCTGGGATTACAGGCATGAGCCACCGCACCTGGCCTAGTTTTCAAATTCTTAAATGATACTAGTAACTAATTGATTTATTTAAAGTTATACTTTACATACTTATATACCTTAAAGTGGTGATTTTGGCTATTGTTTCCATATATTAAGATTTCAGTAAAGCTGCTTATGAATTAAATTCAGTTTTTCCAACATAATATCTCCATTTATAAAATGAATATTATTGACTTGCTTTGTGTTCTTGTTCAATTTAAAATAAAGTGATATCTGGACTGTCTCCAGCTCCTAATTTATAAATCTTTTACCTTATTTGGTCTCTCCTCATCCTCTTTTTACTTCCTCTTCTTATTATTACTTTCCATACTTTGATTTGTTTCTATCACAAACTACATGATTCCAACTTCATTCTTAATTTTAGAAAAAAAAGTATTACCACCAATCCATTATTGTGTGCCATATTTCTGTAAATGGAACTTCCAGTTTATGTGAGATGAGTAACATTACATTATTGATTATCTCTTTATAGTGCAGAATTTTCTGTAGTTTTCAACCTCAGCCCAAGTTTTCCATAAGATTTAACAAATTTATTTGAATTTCATTCTCCATTAAGGTAACAAAAGTAAACAAATTGTTGTATCTTGATGACTTTTCAATAAGTCTGTAAAATTTTCTTCTAATTTAAAAATTATAGACCTCAGACATTCTTACTTACATCATCTTTTTCAACATTTCCAGGGCTTCTTGAACTAGCTAAATCAACAGCTATATTTTATGATAAATAAATAACTTTTTTTAGTTCTTCACGGGTAAAAAAAAGAAAGTGCTAATTAGAAATAACTTTTTATTGAAATTATTTTTTCTTCAAGTGTTTTACACAATGTTTAAGTCTATGACTTACACATAGACTTGTGTAAGTTGGGCTTTGTGTACCCACCCAAATGTCATCTTGACTTATAACTTCCATGATCCCCACATGTCAAGGGAGAGACAGGGTCGAGGTAATTAGATCATGGGGGTGGTTTCTCCCATGATGTTCTCATGATAGTGATGACTTCTCACAAAATCTGTTGATTTTATAAGGGGCTATTCCCCGTTTGCTTGGCACTTCTCCTTCCTGCTGCCTTGTGAAGCAGGTGCTGCTTTCCCTTCCCCTTCCACCAATGATTGTCAGTTTCCTGAGGCCTCCCCAGCCATGCTGGACTATGAGTCAATTAAATCTCTTTCCTTTCCAGTCTCAGGCAGTTCCTTATAGCAGTGTGAAAACAGGACTGATACAATTATCTTTGAATAATCTAGACTCAATTCATCCTTGTTTTTGTAAGGACAGAAAATTGGTAAAGATGAACAATAAAAAGTTTTAAAAGCCTTAAGATTTAGTGATTTTTCTGAAAACAATAACAATACAAAACAAGAAAAAAAACAAATCTATAACTTGTGAGTTCAGCATTGCTTCCAGTGGCTACTATGATTTATAATTTACACTTTTTTTATTCTGCTCTGATTTTTGTTTTATTATTTAGGAAGCGAAGAACCTCTCATTTGTTCATATTTTAACATTCAATGCAGATTAATCACCTTCAAATTTTATTCTTGAGCACAGGTAATTCCGTGGATAATTTTATTATCTTATTAGTGCTCAATGAACTTCGCCTAATGCCTAAACCAACGATATTTTGATGTTAAACATTGACCCAGGCAATCGATAATCACAGGCCAAAGGTTGTTCCTTGACTATAGTTCTACTAATTCAATTCCACATTATTCTTGTGTGTGCCAACAAATTACATCTATAATGTATTGTTTACAATTTTCAGCTTCTATCTATGGTATGGAGTGAAAATAGGAGAAAGTTGTAAAGGAATCTTAAAATCGTAGCTTTTTAACATGATTTTATACCTAATTTAATATCAATATTTTAGGCAATTGCTTATGTTGTATTTTTCTAAATCACTACTCATTTTGTTCAAATAATTAATATCAGTTTTTGTTGTTGCACTCATGTATCATCAGTTTCTTAAATGTTTACTTAACTTAGCATGCCTCCAATAGCAAACACAAGTGATATTAAGGATTAGGAACAACACAACTGCCTCATACATTTCATAAAGTGGAAATCTTCTAGGGGAAGTATTGGCAAACTTTCTGTTAATGTTCATATATAAATACTTTTGGCTTTGAGAGCAAGAATGTCTCTGACACAAGAATTCAACTCTGCTATTTTGGTGCAGTGTCCTTAGAGAGGCATGAAAAGAAAATACACCAAAATATATGGAACACAGTGGAAGGGATAATCTATAGCTATAAATGCTTACATTAAAAAACAAGAAAGCTCTCAAGTCAACAACCTAACTTTACATCTTGAGGAACTATAAAAAGAACAAACTAAACCCAAAGCAAGTAGAAGAAAGGAAATAACAAAGACTAGAGAGAGACGAATGAAATAGAGAATACACAGTATAAAAAATCAATAAAACAAAGTTTTCTTCTTTGAAAAGATGTAAAAAATGGCAACACTATAGTTCAGATGAACCATGCAAAAAAAGAAGACTCAAATTATTAATACCAAAATCAGAAATGAAAGTGGGACATGCATTATTATTAATTCTACATAAATAAAAGAATTATAAGAGAGAACTATAAACAAGTAGACCAGCAGATTGAATAACCTAGATGAAATGAACAAATTCCTAGCAACATAAAACCTACCAAGATGAAATCATGAAGAAATATAAAATCTGTAAAGATTTACACTGGTGAGGAGATTGAATCAGTACTCAAAAATCTCCCAAAGAAGAAAAGCCCAGGATTTGATGGCTTCCCTGATGAATTCTACCAAATATTTAAAGAAAAACATAACACCAAACTTTCTCAAACTTTTCCAAAAAAAAAAAAAAACATGAAGAAGAGAACACTTCCTAACTTATGCTGTGTCCACTATTACCCAGATGCCAAAGCCAAAGAAAATACAAGCAAAGAGGCCGGGCGCAGTGGCTCACGCGTGTAAGGACAAAGCGGGCAGATCACGAGGTCAGGAGATCGAGACAGTCTTGGCCAACATGGTGAACCCCGTCTCTATTAAAATACAAAAAATTAGCCGGGTGTGGTGGTGCGTGCCTGTAATCCCAGCTATTTGGGAGGCTGAGGCAGGGGAATCACTTGAACCCAGGAGGCAGAGGCTGCAGTGCACTGAGATTGCGCCACTGCACTCCAGCCTGGCAACAGAGCAAGACTCTGTCTCAAAAAAAAAAAAAAAAAAAAAAAAAGAATGAAAAGAAAATACAAGCAAAGAAAACTATAGACCAATATCCCTTATGAACATCAATGCAAAATTCTCAATAAAATATTAGAAAACCAAATTCAGCAGCATATAGAATTATACACTGTAACCAAGTGGGGTTTATTTCTGAAATGCAAGGAAGATGCAATATGGGAAAATTAACTAATGTAATACACCACGTTAACAGACTGAAGAAAACAAAAACCATGATCATCTCAATTGATGCGGAAAAAGCATTTGACAAAATGTAACACCTCTGCATGACTGTTAAATACCCAACAAACTGGGAATAGAAGAAAACTATCTCAATATAAGAAAAGCCATTTGTAAAAAACTCACAATGGACACCATTCTCGATGGTGAAAGACTGAAAGCTTTTTTTCTAAGATAAGGAGCAAGGCAAACATGCCTTTATGTTGTCACTTCTATTCATGATAGTACTGGAAGTTCTAGTCAGAGAAATTACGCAAGAAAAAGAAATAAAAGGCATTAAATGGGAAATGATAAAATTATCTCTGTTTGCACATAATAAAATCTAGTATTTGGAAAAGCCTAAGTATTTAACAAAACATTGTTATAACAAATAAATGAATTCAGAAAAGTAGTAGGATATTATGTCAACACACAAAAGTCAGTAGTATTTTTATAGAGTAATGATAAACAACCCCCCCAAAATTAAGAAAAGAATTTCATTTACAATAACATCAAAAAAGAATAATTTAACCAGGTAGGTGAAAGACACGCACAATGAAAACTAAAAAAAGAAAGAAAACAAAAACAAGGACAACAACAACAACAAAAAAAAGAAAAAAATTGTTAAAAGAAATTAAAGAGGACATAAACAAATGGAAAAAACACTCTATGTTCATGATTGAAAGATTTAACATTGTTAAGATGTCAATATTACCAAAGCAACTTACAGATTCAATGCAATTCCTATCCAGATCCCATAAATTTTGGGGGGAACCAGAAAAACACATTCTAAAATTCATATGGCATCCCAAAGGACTCCAAACAGCCAAAACAATCTCAAAAGAAGAAGAAAACAGTTGGAGGACTCACATTCCTGATTTCAAAGCTACAAAGCTAGGGTAGTAAAAAGAGTGTGGTACTAGCATGAAGACAGACATATAGACCAATGGAATGGAATAGAATAGAGATCCCAGAAATAAACTATTGCATATACAGTCAAATGATCTTTGACAAGTGTGCCAAGACTAATCAATGGGGAGAGGACAGTCTCTTCAATAATTGTTCTGGGAAAACTGGATATTTGCATGCAGAGGAATAAAGTTGAGCCCTTACACCACATACAAAAACTAACTCAAAATGGATCAAAGGCCTAAGTGTAAGATTTTAAACTGTAAGACTCTTAGAAGAAAGCATAGGACAATACTTCACAATACTGCATTTGGTGATGATTTATTGGATGTGTATCAAAGGCACAGGCAACAACAAAAATAAATTGGATTTTATAAAATTTCTAATATATTGTACAAAAAAATAAGTATCAATAGAGTAAAAAGGTAACCTACAGACTGGAAGAAAATATTTGCAAATAATATATCTGATAAAGGATTAATATTCACAACATATAGACAATTTCTAAAACTAAAAAAAAATACAAAAACACCTTGATTCAAGCATTGGCAAAGGATTTGAATGTACATTTCTTCAAAGAAGATATATAAATGGTCAATAAGCACATGAAAAGATGCTTAGCATCACTAATCATTAGAGAAATACAAATCAAAACTACAAGTAAGATACTACCTCACACTTACTAGGATGGCTAGTATCAAAAATAAAACTTAAAAAGTGAAAATGACAGCATTGGCAAAGCTGTGGCATAACTGAAACCCTCCTGCACTGTTTATCAGGATGTTATCACATGGCCACTATGGAAATTACTCATGACAGTTCATCAAGCATGGTAGCAGGTGCCTACAGTGCCAGCTACTCAGGAGGCTGAGGCAGGAGAATGGCGTGAACCTGGGAGGCAGAGCTTGCAGTGAGCCGAGATGGCGCCACTGCACTCCAGCCTGGGCAACAGAGCAAGACTCCATCTCAAAAAAAAAAGGAACAAAAACAAAACAAAACAAAAAATAAAAATACAACTACCATAGGATCCAGTTATTCCACTTCTGGGTATGTACCCAAAAGATTTGAAAGCATCATCTTGAAGAAATATTTGTACACTCATGCAGCATTATTCACAGTAGCTAAAACATGGAAGCAAACCCAAGTGTCTGTTGATGAAGGAATGAATAAACACAATGTGGCATATACGTAACGATGAAATATTATTCAGCCTTAAGAAGGAAGGGAATTCTGGCACACGCTACAACATGGATGAATCTTGAGGACACTATGCTAATTGAAATAAGCCAGTCACAAAAAGACAAATACTGTAGTATGGTTCTACTTATATGAGGTTTTGTAGTAGTCAAAATCACAGTGACAGCAAGTAGAATGGTGGTTGACAGGGGCATTAGAAAGTCATTATTCAATGGATGCAGAGTTTCAGTTTTATAAAATGAAAAGTGGAAGATAAATGGTGTGATGGTTGTCCAATATTATGAATACATTTAATACCACTGAACTGTATACTTAACATGTTTAAGATGGTGACTCTCATGTGTATTTCATCACAATTTTTAAGAAAATGAAATAATAGCCAAACAGGCAGTGTGCTAGATTTTCTTCATGGGCCATAGTTGCTAACCCTGGTTTTGGGGCATAGTCACAAGCTTCAGCATGTCAGTGGCCCCAGTCATTACATTTTAGACAGGGAACACAAAGCGTCAGTTACTCCAGAAAGTAGATTAAGTGGAGGACAGTTAAGAGGTTTCTACTACAGTTCTTATTGAAACCCAGAGCTTCCTTCATACTACCAGAACAAAAATGACCTTGATTTTCAAGTGTGATTATAAATAAGATGCTGATTCATGCTCTGCTGCTTTTCCAGTCTGAGATCTTTGACCCTTATTTTGTCTTTGGCCTACAGCCTAATTTAATTAAGCAAATGCTTTCCAAAGTGGCTTCTGTATTTAAATCGTATTTTTTTTAAAAACATAGATTTTAAAAGTTAAACCAAAAGTTTAACTTTCTTTCGGCATAAGGGGTAAAGTTTAAGAAATGACCCTCCAAAACCTTTGCAAGAAGGAAGTTGGATTGTCATGCAGCATCGATTTTACGATGATCAGTCATCAAGAGTTCATTAGAAATGGTACTTCATCCTTAGGAGGTGAGTCATTTCATACTCGTAGCCTCCACAAATTTGTCATAGAGGCATACGATATAGGAAGCCATTAGCTGAGTAACAGTCATTTTAAATTGACGTATATATACTGTTGACATCTTCTATGCTGTTCTCCATTGGCAGAGCCCCATCACATTTCCGGTGCCCTCTTTATCTGAAAAATTTTTGCATGGTGATATTCAATTCCTACAAAGCCCTCATCTGACCCAGATTTATGTGATGTTTCTTAAGGTTGGACTTAGCCCTCAACACTCCACCTCGTCACTGATGTTTTCTCTCTTTTTCAGCATACAGCCAGAACCTCCCACCTTAGTTTGCTGGTTATATTCTGCCAAAAATTTACCATACAAAGGTCTTATTTAAACCTATAGTGGTGAAATTTTTAGGACTCAAGATTGTCTAAGACTATTCATTCAACAAATGTGGATTTATTGCCAGCTATGTATCAGGGCCTTTATAGGTGCCAAAGGATCAGTATCTAGTCCTTGCTATCAAAATCCAGTAGCTGAGATGTATGTATAGGGAGAAGGGTGTGGAAAAAAACAAACAAACATGTAAACCAATTATGACATTACAGCATAATAGTGTGAGTTGTGAATAGATGATATGAAAGCACAGATAAGTAAATCATCAGTGGCCTGACATTGAACAGTGCAGAGAGGTGTAGATATGAGGCCTCACAAAGGGTGAAATAGACTAAACTTTGAAAAATGAGAAGAAATTTAAAGAGGGAGGAGCATTACACAGACAGAAAACAATATGTACAAAGGCTCAGAGTCATGACATAGCATAATGTGATTTGATCTGGAAACAGATAATATTCCGTATAATTAAGCTAACAGTATAGCTAGGGAAGAAACAAGACATAAATCTGAAAGGTTAAGTAGGGCTTAGAGTTCATAGGTTAATAACTTTTAGGCTAAAAGTAGTAAGGGGCTTTGAAGAATTGAGGCAGAGCAACATGGTCAATTTGGTAATACACATTGATTACAAAATAATATGCAGGTAAATGTGTTGGACATAGATCTCACCAGAGACAGTTCTAGATTGGAGACTTATATTTGGCAGTCACCTAAGTGTATATGATTATTGGAAACATAGACTTGCAGAGAAAATAGACAGATAAATAGATATATAGACAAAGCAAGAAAATGAAATCCAAGGGGGTACACATCTCTAGGAAGACAAGGGAAATTGGGGGCAGTGACCATAAAATAAAAAAAGAAAACCAGGAAAGTATATTTCTAGAAGGTGGCCATGTTTAATAGACATCATGTAAAATAAAGATTGAAAACATTATACAAAATGAAGAGCATTAGCTTAGCAAGAGAGCTATGTGACATGAGAGGTATGGATGATAGACAGCCATCTGTTGAGAGGAGAATGGGAAGTAAGAAAGTAAAAACAGTAAATTTAAACTATCCTGCTTTAACTTTCAAAAAATCAATCAATTAACTCACCATGCTAACAGACTATTGAAGAAGAAAATAAATGACCATTTCAACAGATGCCAAAACATCACTTGACAAAATTTAACATTCCTGGTAAAAGAAACAAAATTCTGTAGCAACCTAGGCATAGAAGGGAACTTCCTAATCTGATGAAGACATCTACAAAATACAATTTTAAAAAGTTAGAGTTCACATCATACTTAATGGTGAGACTGAAAATTTTCTATTAAGTTTGGGAATGAGGGATGGAAATCTTCTCTCTAAACTCCTATTTTACATTGTACTAAAATTTCTTGTCAATGCAACAAGACAATAAAAATAAAATCATACAGATAAGAACATGAAAAAATAAAATTCTCGATTCACAGACAACATGACTGTTTATATAGAAAATCTCAAAGGATCTATAGAAAAGCAATACCAAACCTAACTATACAACCAAGAGAAATAAAAATCTATGTTCCCGCAAAGTCTTACACAATGATTTATAGCAGTTTTATTCATAGTTGACAAAACTTTAAAGTACTCCCAATGTCCTTCAACTAGTGAATGGAAAAGCAAACTGTTAATACAGCTATACTAGACTTTATAGACACACTATTGATTTACATAACAAAGATGAATCTTAAATGCATTCTGCTAGTGAACTAAGTAGCAAGACCAGAAAAACTCCATATTATATGATTCAATTTTATATGATACTCTTTAAAAAAGGAAGAATTATCCCAAGGCAATCAGTGGTTGCTGGGGTTGGGGGATGGAAGCAAGAGGTAATCTATAAAAGAATAGCAATCAGTGGTTGCTGGGGTTGGGGTGATAGAATTGCTTTGTTTGAGCCGGGCATGATGGCACACACCTGTAGTCTGCAGCTACTCAGGAGGCTGAGACAGGAGGATTGCTTGAACCCCGGAGTCTGAGGCTACAGTAAACTATGATTGCACGACTGTACTCCAGCCTGAGCAACAAAGTGAAACTTCATCTTTATATAAAAAACAAAGAGATTTTTAAAAAATTGTTTGAAGTGTTGCAGTGGATATACAACTCTATGCATTTGTCTAAACCAACAGACCTGAACACCACAAAAAGTGAATTTTATTACACATTAATTTTTAAAATTTACCGGAATGTGAAGAAATTGTATTACAAATGAACCACATGATCATACTTAAGGCGGCTGCAGGAGGAAGAAACTGATGTAATTAACTCTGGAAAAATGCTGTTTTGACTGGATACTGTAAGGCTAAGGGGAAAAAGGAACAGTACACAAACACTGTATCCTAGTTGATAAATTTGTTTCTCACAGGAGTTTTGGTTAAGAATTCTGAAACTCCTTCAGTTGTACACTAGAGTTGAACAGATTAGTAAAGATGTGATAAATAATAAAGCCAGGTTTCTCACTACTGAAGAAGGAAGTTACAAATAAAAAAGGAGAAGGGCTAAAATGAACTCTGCAGTGCTGAATTGTGGTCAGAGGTCTTAATATGGACTCATATTTTAAAGTATATATGTCAATACATAGATGCAGATATAGTTGTGTGTGTATGCATGAGTTAGTTTAGCTACAGGTGTGTCCCAGCTTTCTTCACTGAGAGGGGATAGAGGCAGTGCCACTCTAGCAATGAACACAGCTGGTGCCTGGATCTTTGTTTTTAAATACCAGGCACCAGCAAAAGGAGCCAGGGCTCATGTGAAGTGGCTGATTCCAGAACTGCAGCAGGAGAAAATATATCACTAGACATTAAGGAAGTGTTAAAAAAATGGAATGCATATAGAGACAGAGAAAAAGAGATAGATATAGATACATGAAAGAGAGAGAGAGAGGAAGAGCAAGAGTGTAAACAAAAAATAGAAGATCACCACTAAAGGCCGGGCACAGTGACTCAAGCCTGTAATCCCAGCACTTTGGGAGGCCGAGGCAGGAAGATCACGAGGTCAGGAGATTGAGACCATCCGGGCCAACACGGTGAAACCCCGTCTCTAATAAAAATACAAAAAAATTAGCCGGGTGTGGTGGCGGGCGCCTGTAGTCCCAGCTACTCAGGAGGCGGAGGCAGGAAAATGGTGTGAACCCCGGAGGTGGAGCTTGCAGTGAGCCGAGATGGTGCCACTGCATTCCAGCCTGGGCGACAGAGTGAGACTCCATCTCAAAAAAAAAAAGAAAAGAAAAGAAAAGAAAAGAAAATCACCAATAAAACATCCTAGTAATAATGGCCACAGGCAAGATCCAGCAATAAATACAAAAATTAAATCTGATTTTGAGCTACATCAATTCTAATAAGTGTTGCAGGACAAGAAAATCACTGTGGTGGTGTTGCACAAGACAAGTAAGTTTAAATAATTCAGTGAAAACACAATTCGACATCTATTTAGAAAGCTATGGAAAATGAATGCCAATTCAGAATCACTTGTGTATACATGACAAACATTGGGTTTAAATGTTTAAAAGTTGCATGGATTTAAATGGTTGACTAATTTCATGACTATTTCATGTCAACTTCGATTTTACTAGTAGAGCCATATAAAAATTAATTATTTTATTTTAAATGTAGTGAGAAAGTCACCCTTATTCACTCTATTATAGACAAGTAATTATTAAATATGATTAAACACGTGAAATTATTCTAAATTATCTATTTCTTACTTTCATACCCACACTCTCTTCCCTTCCCCTAAACTTGCATCTCTTCTCATAGCCTTTATTTGGTGAACAGTAATATTACCCACTGAGTTGCTCAAGCCAGAATTTTGGGAATAATCTTGGCTCATTTTCTCCAAATTCAATTCTTTCTCTATGTGCCCAAGTGATGTGAATTCTCATTAAACAAATCACTTATCTCTGCTTCCACTGCTGAAACTTCAGTTGAAGATTTTAGTGTTTCTTTACTGGGCTACAGAGATTACCTCTTAATTTATCTTCCTGATTCCTATCTCACTCAACTGTCAAAGCGATCTGTCAAAGTCACAAATCCGATTGTTTCATTCTCTTGTTTGAAATCTTCCCGTGACTCACGACTTCATGCATGAAAGCTCGTTATGGCTTGCCCTTCCTGATACAACTCCTATTTGGATTTCCAGCCCCAGTGTGCACGTGCAGTTCGTTTAAGGTCACATTGTTCTGAAATGGCTTCCTCTCCAAGGACACCTCCCATCCCCCTTCTCCAATGCCATTGGCTGCCAATCTCCAACTCTCTTTCAGGTTTCTGTCTGGTTGTTTGGTGCTCCAGAGACCACATCTGGACAGCCTGGAATTGGTGGTGCTCCATCTACCGATCCCCAGACTTTTCATCACCCTCACTGTATCACTTTCCATGCTGGTTTATAACTGCTTGATTATTTACCTGCTCCCCCACCGCAGTGTGTAATCTTCTAAGACACAGCCATATTTTATTATTATTATACTTTTTTTTTTAAGACAAAGTCTCACTCTGTCACCCAGGCTGCAATCCCCCACCTCCCAGGTTCAAGCAATTCTTGGGCCTCAGCCTCCCGAGTAGCTGGGATTACAGGCATGGGCCACCACGCCCAGCTAATTTTTGTATTTTGAGTAGAGACGGGGTTTCACCATGTTGGTCAGGCTGGTCTCAAACTCCCGACCTCAGGGGATCCACTGGCCTCGGCCTCCCAAAGTGCTGGGATTACAGGTGTGGGCCACCACGCCCGGCCCATATTTTATTATTATTTTTAATATTATGAGCCTAGAACAGTGCCTGTGACTTAACATGCACTCAACAATTAATGAAAAAAATGAATTAAAAGACACAGAGCACTTTGTGACCTGTGATTTGTCACCATTCCAAATCCATTATCCTAGTTTTCCCTATCAGAATGATTTTAAGTGACAGTATTATCATACACCTATGGCTGCAATTATCCTTTACAATCAAGATTTTCTTACAGACTCCAAATTAAAATAGGTAATCAGACATTTTATTTTTATACATGAACTATTTTCTCACTGTTTAGTCTTTAAAGAAGTTACTCTTGGACCTTATCCCAAGTGAAAAGTGTTAGCTTATTTCCACTAATTAAAGAGCTTCAGAAATTGCTACTAGAATTGCATTAAACTTTATTTGCCTTAAACATTACACTTACAACTTACTCCTTTAGAAATATGTTTTAGGAGACTAATTGCATTTTCTGTTTTTAAAAGGTGGAGGGGCTGAGCGCGGTGGCTTACGCTTGTAATCCCAGCACTTTGGGAGTCCGAGGCAGGCAGATCACTTGAGGTCAGGAGTTCGAGACCAGCCTAGCGAACATGGCAAAACTCCGTCTCTACTAAAAATACAAAAATTAGCCAGGGGTGGTGACATGCGCCTGTAATCCCAGCTACTGGGGAGGCTGAGGCAGGAGAATCACTTGAACCTGGCAGAAGAGGTTAGCAGTGAGCCAAGATCACGCCACTGTACTCCAGCCTGGGTGACAGAGCGAGACTCCGTCTCAATGAAAACAAAAAGAAATGCGGGAGGCTTTCGAAAAGGATTCCCACTAATGGACTGCATGAGCATGCACAGCAACAGGCATGAACAAGTGAGTTCTTCCACCTTTGTCTGTCTTGTGAAGTTATACATACTGATATCTCCCTGCCCAACCCAGAGTGTGAGCTCTCTGGCACAATCTTGGAATCAACAACTAGTGCTGGCAAAATATCTTGTACTTAAAAACAGCCATAGCAACAATAACAATGTTAAATTCAACTGCCTTTTTTATGGAATCAAATGCCACATTAATGCAGAATTGCAGAGATGGTGGCCCACATCTGGAGGCACTATCAAATCAAAAGGAGTACTAAGTATGGGTCATGATTAACTCTTTGAAATTGACCTACATAAGATAGAGCCGAATGCCTAAAACAAGGGTGCAACTGGCCAGGGATGGTGGCTCATGCCTGTAATCCCAGCACTTTGGGAGGCTGAGGCAGCTGATAAATGGTCCTAAAGGAGCAGAGAAGATGTGAGTCTTCATCACTCAGAGTGACAAGGGAGGCAGAGAGCATGTCAAAAGAGGGGACAGTTGAGCCAGGTTTTCCTGCATGTTCACAAAAAGATAATAGTTAATAAATATGCAACAATGATCCACAAAATGGTAGCAACTCAATTGACATGAACTACCAAAGACTTCAAGATAGTAGAGATAAAAATGTTTCTTAAAGTCTAGGACAGTTGCGTATTTATCTTTGCAACCTCCACAACAACCAGGTCTTCCACATACTAGCAGAACATCAATTGACTATTACAAAGATACACAGTAGCTCCTCCCTTCAATGGTTTCCTCTCATGGCCACCTACTGTCAAACACATAGGTATGAATCTTGCAACCACCCTACTAAAGTGGACTGTAACTGATGGTAATCATCTCATAATGTGTGAATAATACCAGCTGGACTTGGTGCAAAGCAGAAGGAGCAAACAAAAACTTCTCCTTCCATTCACAAGGCTCACGGGAGGTGTTAAGTAAATGTTAGTCACTCCTTTTGGATTTTTTTTTTCTCTCTGTAAAGAAAAACTAGTATTTGTTTGAGATCAGAGCAATTGTCTTGATATCAAAAGTTAAAATGGGAAGACTATTTGGATAACATATAGAACAACTCAACTCTAATCCTTAACATTTTAAAATGTCTTTAATTTGGAGGATTGTCAGCATTTTCTCAATTATTTTTTGGTATTTTCTGTGTGTGTCTTTATTTAGGACTTCATAAAATATAAGCAAAATAATTTTCATGTTGTTTGTACTTGCAACATGTCTGTAACTTTTGACTTCTTTGGTGTCCTTACTGAAGTCTTTCCTTCTATTTCTTTCATTGTTTTATCCCGTGGGTACTAGTTTGCTATGAATACTCTGAATATTCTACATAGAGTCTCAGTACTAGAAATAAAATTCCTTTGTAACACTATGTATTCTCACCTAATAGTAAGGAATTGGTGTTGCCTGACAATACTAGTCTTCAACAGAAGATTTAGCAATGATAAGAAGCTTGTTTTTTAGGGTAGATTATATTATTTTGCACAAAATATCAAATTTTCCTCTTTGCCTTGACTTTCATGGGGGAGGTAGGCATTATGCAAAATGTGACATGCCTCAGCCAATGACATGTGAGAAGCGATGTGTGCTTGTCATTTCTGGGCAGAAGGTTTATCCCTTTTTACTTGGCCACGATTACTAACAATGTTCCAGATAAAGGAAGCTTTGCCACCTTGGGTCCTAGAGAGAAGATGATGCAGAGCAGAAAAGAAACCAAACTTTGATGAAGCATGATCAAGAAATAAACTATGTTTCCATGAGACTGTGAGGTCATTTATTCTTACAGCACAATCAAGCCATTTCTAGCTTATATAACTGAGTCTAAAGAATTCTTTAAGAAAGGGATCCTACCAAACGTGGTAGGCAGAATGACCCCCAAAGATGTCCATGCCAAAGATGTTCCCTGATCCCTGGAACCTGTGAAAATGTTACCTTACATAACAAAGGGGACTTTGCAGATGTCATCTGAAGCTATGAACCTTAAGGAAGGGAGGTTTTTGTGACTTATCCATGTGGGCACAATTTAATCACATGTGCCTTTAAAAACAAAGATGTTTCTCTCTTTGGAGGCAAGAAGGGTGCAACAGAAGAGGAAGTTAGACAGTTAAATCAAAGCATGAGGACTCTTCTGGTCAGTGCCCATTTAAAGAGACAGGAGACAAATAAAGGGGATCACAGCCCTCCCTAAGGAGAAGATGGCCTCCCAGTCAGCAGCCAGCCAGGAGAAATGGCCTCCCAGCCAACAGCCACAAGGAAACAGGGACCTCGACCTAGCAGAATAAGAAACTGAATTTGGCCAATGACCTCAATGAGCTTGGAAGCAGATTAATTTCCAGACCCTCCAGAAGAATGTAGGAATCAAGGAACATTGATTTGGGCCTTATGATATTCCAAGCAAAGGACCTTGCTGAGCCACACTGTATCCAACATCCCCACCTACCAGAACTGTGAGATAATACATTTGTGTCTTTTCTACCAACTAAATTTGTGTTAATTTGTTATAACAGAGATAAGAAAAATAGTATACTGATTTTACAGTTTAAGGAGTAATGGGCATGGACTAGTAAGAGACATGTACCTTTCCAGTAGGATTAAATGAATTAACTGAATTTACCTTGATGGACAGTGATAGCAAAAACCACGTGATGATAGTAACATCTGATCTCTCTCTAGCCACTACACCTACAGGAAATTATGTATTTTATAAGGGTTTCCATCCTAAAAACAAAAACTAAGCACATTTACTTCTCAGAGTTTTTGGATAATTTTGTAAGTAAATGCACATAATCCAGTCCCTGATATAGGATACATAATCCATCCTTGATGGTTAAATAAATAAAGAAATAGACAAGTAAACAAATGGAAAGTGACTGGGATTGGACACATGGCCCAATTTATAGAACATAAGGTTTCTACAATTAGGCTTGAACAATATTTATCCCAATCAGTAATTTGCTTTTGATATTTACAGTCAACCTGCTTGACAAAAAGACAAATTGCTATTTTCAAAGTAGGACAGGTATATCCTACCAATATCCTGTATTAAATTAACTGAAGTTATCTACAAGCCTTTTAAAACCTTTTATTACAAAACTGTTAGTGATTTCAACCTGTGTCTTCTCTTCAGGTAATGTCTGTAAATAAGGTTGTATGGCCAGGCATGGTGGCTAACATCTATAATCCCAGCACCTTGAGAGGCTGAAGCAGGAGGATTGCTTTAGGGCAGGAATTCGAGATAAGCCTGGGCAATGTAGCAAGACCTTGTCTCTACAAAAAATTACAAATAAAAAAATGAAACTAGTGAGGCATGGTGGTGTGTGCCTATAATCCTAGCTTCTTGGAAGGCTGAGGCAGAAGGATCACATGAGATCAGGAGTTTGAGGCTGCAGTGGGTTAGTATTAAGCCACTGCATTTCAGCCTGGGTGACAGAGCAAGACCTTGTCTGTAAAAAAAATTTAAAAAGTAAGATTGCATCATCATCTCTAACCCTGCATGGTTAGCCCATTTATTGAGAATATTTCTCAAAGTTCTGAGAGAATAAAGTAAGTATTAATTCCAAGGGAATAAAATAAGTAGAAATGCTAAAAGCTGTTTTTCACTGGACTGCAATTTCTTACTTACAAAAACCATCCACTTATCTTTTCTAGCAATGAGAGATTATTGAGCTCATACACACCACAACTGTAGGCATTAGAGTGAGTCAAGATAAATATAATATGCTCCTTGCCCCTGTAAAGATCATAATTTAATTCGGAAGCCAAATACATCAACAATCATTAATGTTTTCATTGTTACAACAACATGTTGTAGCACAAAGGAGGGGGGCAATTAACTTTGTGGGGATAGGAAGGAAAACCTGATGGAGGAGGAAAGATTTGACTTGGTTCCCAAGTGATTATTTGCACTGTTATTCATTTTACACTTGCCAACTCAAAATTGTTGCCTCGTGATGCATATCATTTCAATTTCAGAAGGCCAAAGGTATACGGATTCTTTTTGTCATAGTGTCTTCTTAAATCTGGGGTAGACAAACTTTTCTCTAAAGAACTAGATGGAAAAAATTTTAGACTTTGCAACCACATCAGCTCTGTCACATCTACTCAACTGTGCAATCCAGGGTAAGCAGCCACAGACAATATGTAAACAATAATATGTAATTAAATGGGTATGGCTGTGTTCCAATAAAATTTATTTACAAAAACAATCAGATAGTCAGAATTTGTTTGCAAGCTACAGATTAACAACATCCATCTTAGATAAATAATATAAAAATATAAAATAGTGAAAAGGTAGTACACTCTGTGCTGGAACTTACGAAGACATATACATGGAAAATGGACGCTTCTTGCTTTCAAAAACAAACACAAAAAGCAAAGAGTTTACCAATGTACAAGATTTATGTTAAAGGAATTATACCAAGATTTCAGTCTTAAATTTTAGCCTTGGACTTAGTATCTAAATTGAATTAGGAAACCACACTTAATCTGACTTCATCTCATTTTGATGTGTTGCTTCAGACTTTAACTAATATATTAGGGTTTTGTTTTGTCTTGTTTTCAATGTATCCAGTTTGTTCAAAAGACTTCAGCCTAGGTCGGTTACAGGAAAACAATCATACCGTCCTATTGACTAATTATGCCCAAAATAGTTCACATCAGACACAGTTGTAGGGTAAAATCATGTTTCTAGATTAGGCTCAGAAGCTGGGATGAGAAGGAGGAACTCAAAGGAATTTTATTTTTAGATGTGATCAAATTTAGTAAAGAGAAGGAACAGGCTGCGGTTTCAGAAACAACGGATAGGGCTCAAGAGGAAGGTCACCAGCAAGTAAGATACAAGGGTCTGAAACCTCCAGAATCCAGCGGATCCCAGGTTAAAGTACATGTGCTCAGGCAACCTTTTCACTATCTTAATATCTTCACTATCTTAATACTAGCACTATCTTAAGGGTATAATTTAATGCCTATTGAGAGCCAGGCTGGGGTTAATATCAGAGTTGGAAGCCATGAGAGACTGTTGAAAACCTGGCTAGTTGTCTAAGCTTCAAATGTGAAATGAGATAAAATCAGAGTAAGTGAATTTAATGAAAAAGAGAAAACGATGAATTCAAGGAGAATAAAGATAGTGGTCATATCAGAGTGATATGACCTCATATTCACTTTGGAAAACAGTGAGAAATAAGATGGAAAATAAGGACCAAGGGACAACATGTGGACCTCTGAAAGGAGGGTTTTGTTTTCAAAATGTTACAGAGACACAATTTGGATTTTTCAGCCGAGGAGTGACATGTTCCTTGAGAGATTCTTATTTGGTGCCATAATTAGAGAAGAATTGTGGTGTGGGAACAACATTCTTGAAATCCAGTCAAGTGGTTTGCTGAGTGGCATGAAAATGAATCATTGCAGGCTGGGATTTGGAAGGTGTCAGGGGGAATTGCAAGAAATTTTTAATTTTTGACAGAGTGAGTAAAGGAGAGAGATCTGTCACAGAGAACTCCAAGGTTTTGAGTGAAAGTAATTGGAAAAATGGTAATATCCTTAGAAGAGACAAGGAAATTGAAGAGAGAATCTAATTTGGAGCATATATGGCAGATTCACCTAAAGAGACGTCTGGAGGATGAACTTTCTATTAACTTTCAATCTGGTGCAAATGTGCAAGAGTTTTTTTTTAAATTTTTTATTTTCTAATAATAGAGAAGTAACCTTGGGAAAAATGCTCTGACTTTCTAAGCAGTCTCTCTACCTAATATTGGAGCATTTTATTCTAAAAGGTGGTTTGGTAACACGATGCTACTTCTCACCCTGGCAAACCCACTTCACACAGGCTGCATTCAGTAGGGTGTGGACCTGATACAGCTTCAGGGTACAGGAGACTGGGGGTTACACAGCCAAACCTCAGTACTAACTTATTTCAGACCTTCCCGCTGTCCACATGTAACAAAATTATCCTTTGTTATAGGAGTAAATAGTTTTATTTTATTGTATCTTATTTTCTTTATTTTAGAGATAGGGTCTCATTCTCTTGCCCAGACTGAAGTGCAGTGGGGTGATCATAGAACTCCTGGGCTCAAGTGCTTCTCCTGCCTCAGCCTCCCATGTAGTTAGGACTACAGGCACACTCCACCATGCCTGGCTAATTATTTTTATCTTTATTTTGTAGAGACAGGGTCTCATCATGATGGTCTGGAACTCCATGGCCTCAAGTGATCCCCTCACCCAGGTGTCCCAGAGTATTGGCATTGCAGGTATGAGCCACTGCACCCAGCCAGGAGTAAATATTTTTAATAAATATCTTTACTAAAAGGTTTCAATCAATGTTCTCATTAAGAATCACAATTTATCATTTTGTAATCCCCACTGATCAAGGAAGAATATTGTCTCATTTTACACATATTGATCCTATGGAGAAAAAAATTACATAAAAGTGCAAATTATCTAAAATATGAAGGTTAGGATCATATTCTTAGGCGACCATGGAATTTGAAATTTGGGGAGTTGGCAAATTCTCCTAGTATAAGAACACAGAAAGAAGAGCAGCGCTGGGCCTGACCCTAGAAAATGTTTTCAATGAATTATTTTCTAAATGAAAAGTGTACACAGGGTGATCATCAAAGGGGTTCCCATCCAAAAAAAAAAAGCCAGTGTTATGATATCTTGCTAGGAAGAAAAAGCAATTGGAATGTATTGAATGAGTTCTGTAACGTTTTAAGGGAAATGACAAAACTATTATCTACAGGAGATAAGTGAATTGGGGTTTTTCACCAAAAACTTCTTCCCAGCTACTTTAATTATTTGAATAACCTTTAGTAAAATAGAATAAGAAATCAACCTTTTATAGTTCTAGGAGTCTTACTACCCTGATATCCTAAACTTTTTGGAGGCAATAACAAATTTTCTTAATGATACTCTTAAAATCTTTTACTGCAAGTTACAGGAGGCCTTTCTTCACAGGAGAGGCAGTAAAGAGAAGAGAGAAAGTATACGCTAAGGATTACGCTAAGTAAAATAAGCCAGCCACAGAAAGAAAAATACTGCATGATTTTACTTCTAAGTGGGATCTTTCTTTTTAAAAAAAGTCAAATACACAGAGACAGAGAATAAAACAGTGGACAGGGTAGTGAGGAGGAAATAGGGACACTTAGGTCAGAGGATACAAAGTAGCAGCTACTAGGATGAGAGAGTCTAGAGATCTATGGCACAAGATGAGGGCTACAGTTAAAATTGTATGGTATGTGGGATTCCTGCTAAATGAGTAGATTTTAGCTGCTCTTGCCACACACAAAAAATTAGGTGTAATTATCTGAGATGGTAGATGTGTTAATTTGCCTCACGATGGCAACCATTTTACTGTCTGTATGTATCCTGTAACGTCATGCTGCGTGCCTTAAATATATACAATAAAATAGAATTTCTAGGCTGGGCCCAGTGGCTCACGTCTGTAATCCCAGCACTTTGGGAGGCTGAGGCAGGCGGATCACCTGAGGTCAGGAGTTCAAGACAAGCCTGGCCAACATAGTGAAACCCCCTCTCTACTAAAAATACAAAAACTCCCCCTCCCCCTCTTTCTTTCTTTGGTCTCCCTCTGTTGCCGAGGCTGGACTGTACTGCCCTGATCTCAGCTCGCTGCAACCTCCCTGCCTCGGGCTCCCGTGATTCTCCTGCCTCGGCCTGCCAAGTGCCTGGGATTGCAGGCACGCGCCGCCACGCCTGACTGGTTTTTGTATTTTTGGTGGAGACGGGGTTTCGCGGTGTTGACCGGGCTGGTCTCCAGCTCCTGACCTCGAGTGGTCTGCCCGCCTCGGCCTCCCAAGGTGCTGGGATTGCAGACGGAGTCTCCTCACTCAGTGCTCAGTGTTGCCCAGGCTGGAGTACAGTGGCGTGATCTCGGCTCGCTACAACCTCCACCTCCCAGCCACCTGCCTTGGCCTCCCAAAGTGTTAAGATTACAGCCTCTGCCCGGCCGCCACCCCGTCTGGGAAGTGAGGAGCGCCTCTGCCTGGCCGCCCCGTCTGGGAAGTGAGGGGGGCCTCTGCCCGGCTGCCCCGTCTGGGAAGTGAGGGGCACCTCTGCCCGGCTGCCCCGTCTGGGATGCGAGGAGCGCCTCTGCCCCGCCGCCACCCCGTCTGGGAAGTGAGGAGCGCCTCTGCCTGGCCGCTGTGCAATCTTCCAAGTGTGAAGTGACAGCCTTTCTGCAGGTGTACCCAACAGCTCCAAAGAGACAGCGACCATCGAGAACGGGCCAGTATGACGATGGCAGTTTTGTCAAAAAGAAAAGGGGGAGAAAAGAAAAGGGAGAAATGTGGGGAAAAGAAAGAGAGATCAGATTGTTACTGTGTCTGTGTAGAAAGAAGTAGACATAAGAGACTCCATTTTGTTCTGTACTAAGAAAAATTCTTCTGCCTTGGGATGCTGTTAATCTATAACCTTACCCGCAACCCCGTGCTCTCTGAAACATGTGCTGTGTCCACTCAGCATTAAATGGATTAAGGGCGGTGCAAGATGTGCTTTGTTAAACACATGCTTGAAGGCAGCATGCTCCTTAAGAGTCATCACCACTCCCTAATCTCAAATACCCGGGGACACAAACAGGGCCAAAGGCCACGGGGACCTCTGCCTAGGAAAACCAGAGACCTTTGTTCACGTGTTTATCTGCTGACCTTCCCTCCACTATTATCCTATGACCCTGCCACATCCCCGTCTCCGCGAAACACCCAAGAATGATCAACAAATACAAAAAAAAAAAAAAAAAAAAAAGACACAAAACATGTCTCTACAATGTTTTAAAAATCAAAATCATACCAGGTATCTTATCTGACCACAGTGCAACAAAACTAGAAAGCAATAACAAGAGGAACATTTGAAACTATACAAATACGTGGAAATTAAACAACATGCTCCTGAATGACCAGTGGGTGAAGGAAGAGATTAAGAATGAAAATTTAAAATTCCATACTCACTTTGGCAGCACAGATACTGTTTCGGGCCGAAAGGAAGTCCCTCTGCGCCTTCCTTAGTGGCTGCTGCAGAAAGTGAGGGTTGTGATCAACTCAGTATACCACTGGAGGGTATATGAGTAAACAGCAAACTGTTCTCAGAAAAGCAGAACGTTGGCAAACTGGTAAACTGACAAACTGCGTCTACCGCCCAGAAGGAATGCTGAGGCAGTCACGACCCAGGCACAAGTGTTTCTTGTGATTATCTACAGGGCACATCTGAAGCCTCTTAGTAATAATATGAACCTGTGATCAATTAAGCAGCTGAGCAATCATTACCTCCTCCTCCCTGCTCATTCTACTCAACAAATAGGAAGGGCTGTGGAAGCTCAGGTGCTGTTCATGCTCACTGGAAGCTGCGAGTGCTCTTCTTCTTCCCCTGGCCCCTTCCTTTAAAATACTTACTTTTGTTTTAAGTTTTCATTCCTGTGTGGGTCCCCCTTTGTTCAGTCCCGTAGAAACCGTGGCAATATCCTAAAGTGGAAATGATGGAGAAGATTAGCATGACCCCTGCAAGGAGAAGTGCAAATTCATGAAGTGATCCATATTTTTAAAAATGAAAAAAGTTTTAAAAATGTTAAATTCCTTGAAACAAATAAAAATAGAAACACACACACACACACACACACAAAAATACAAAAACTAGCTGGGCGTGGTGGCCGGCACCTGTAACCCCAGCTACTTGCGAGGCTGAGGCAGGAGAATTGTTTGAACCTGGGAGGCAGAAGTTGTAGTGACAAAGATCATGCCACTGCACTCCAGCCTGGGTGACGGAGCGAGACTCTGTCTCAAAAAAAAAAAAAAAAAAAGAAAAAGAGAACAATTGTTTACGCTGTCTTTCTTCCAGGTAGGGCCATGAGATTGATTCCCACAAAAGGAACAAAAAAATAAAGTGTCATTTCTGAGCTGAAGCAGTTATGCCTCCTCCACCATCTTTTGCCTCTGTGGTGACCACAGAAGCCACATGCTGCAGATGACCTCACATCAAGAAAATGATCTGAATCTCTAAAGCATTGCTTGAAGAGTATTAAAGGTATTAAAATTACACTTCAGGCAGATTAGGTGCCTTTGAGAGGCATGAAAAACAAATCAAGTAACAATTATAACTCCGTCTCAAAAAATATATATGTATATATACTTTTTCCTCAAAAAATATATATGTATACATACTTTTCCTCAAAAAATATATATGTATACATATTTTTCCTCAAAAAATACATATGTATTATATTTTTTCCTCAAAAATGTGTATATATATTTTTTTCTCAAAAATTATATATGTGTGTGTATATATATATATATAATATATATATATTTTTAAAGGAGCTTCTCCCCTGTGGCAAAAGATTAAAAACAGAGAATGACGAGTCACTGAGGCTTTTCAAATAAGAAGAAAAATAAGTACAGAAGTTGAGCCTTAGCGTCTCAGGGAATAAGTCCGGAGCCCTTGGACTCATCCCCACTTGGGATTGCTGCTGTGCTAACGGGTCTTCTTTGTTCTGTCCGGGTGCTTTCCAGGCTTAGATACTACATAAAAGACATTTCAGTTGACCTTTGCCTCATTTACTAACTACAGACCTGTTGGCCCAACAGCTGTATGCTTATGCCGTGGGCAGATCAGACCTTCAAATACCTATTAGTGATTCTGCTTTGTCTAGAAGAACAGCCACAAGATTATTTTTTGGAACAAAACTATCTGTTGAAAATACACTGAGAATAAATACATTTGCTCAAAGTCATTTCCCAAACCCACCTAAAAAAGAATTAGCTTGATCTTGTATAAAACCAGTGACCGTAGTTGAGAGAACTGGCTTCTCCAGTGTGGTCCTGGCGTAAGTGACATATGTGTGTTGTCAACTACCCATATGTTTCCTTCCTCTTTAACTCAAATGCTATCTATATTGTCATATTTTATCATGACAATTCCCACTTCAGTGAGGAGAGACACCAAAGCCCTGAAAACATGGGAAGAACAAACGGAAAAGATATGAACAATCTTACTTGCTGATATAATGAGAACGTGCAGTTAAAATGAGGAGCATGCTAGAAGGGAAAATATTTCTGTTATGTTGATTTTCTAAGGAGAGAAAAGAGAAGACATTATGTAAAACTGTTGTAAGAAAGCAGGTGGTTAAAGGGAAAGAAAAGGTGATGACCTCAAAGGGAAGCTTGCTAAAATCAAGGGAAGTTTTTGTGCCTGTGTACAGAGGAAAGGAGGGAGAAAACTCGAACAGCTTGGTACAGAGCCAGGGGCAAAGCAAAGTTTAAGATTTAATAGAAAAAAAGGAGAATGTTTGGTGGATATAGGTCCAGAGTAGCTAAAGCACAAGCAGGTGACTAAACTTTAGAATGGAAAACACCTCTTTCTCTTTTTTTTTTTTTTTTTTGAAACAAGAAAGGTAGAGTAATTAAATTAATGGTAATGATACTGGGGAATTTTAAGAAGAAGGAAAAGCTTCTAAATGTTCAAATCAAATTGCTTCATTCTCTTTTTGTGGGGATAGTAAAATATGCTATCATGGAAAATAGGATTCGTCCTTTGAGAGGCATGAAAAACAAATTGCGTAACAATTATAAGGCATGGTATAGAAATGCTGCAAAATGCTTTTTTAAATGACTATCAGTTAGAAGAGGTGCTTACCTGTGGTTAAATATAGACTTGGCAATTGATAGACTAGAGCAATAGAGATGACAGATCAGGGGTGAGAGAGGCAATAAAGAGTAGAGTTAGCGGGAGAAAACAGCTGGCAAAGGTAAAAGGGGGGATGTTTTCATGGCGCAATCAAGGGGGTGGCCAAGGTCCCTGGAGGCACCTTGACTGAGGGACACAGTTTGAATGAAATTGAAGAATTTAAGGACTTGCAAAAACGTGCAAACATTCTGTCAGGGCAGAAACTGAGAATGAATGCACACGCCAACCCAACTATGCCCTTTTCCACAACACGGACTCCCCCAGCTTCTCATCTTAGCTCCTTCTCTGGACTCAAAGTATATCAATATCTCCAAAGCTTAGTTCTTAATATCTGCTACCTTTGCTTCTTATTCACTCCTCTGTGTGTTTGATAATGGCACATGTACTCTCCCATCCTGTATTAGCTGGTTCTGATTCATGTTTCTTTCTCTGCTTGGCAGTCCTTTCTACCCTCCCTGCTTGGCAGTCCTTTCTACCCTCCCCAGCCTCTGGCTAACACACAGAGCAAAACAGCATCATTGTGATGCTACAATATACCAGAATAGTGGTAGAACGCAGATTATGGAGAGAACAATGGGGTAAGAATCACAGGTATTCAAGACATATGAAAGCTTGCCCTGCAACTAGGCAAAAGGTGCTTATGAAGAAGGACTAGAAAACATAGATTAGCCTGGACCACAATGGAGAGTGGCAGATGGCTATAGAACCCCAAAGTAGGTTAAAACTGTGTTGTCCTCTCCAGATATCTGACTAAGATTTATGCAAGTTTACATACACATTTGTTCTTAATGTTCAAATGCCTTAATAAATGATCTTGCCACTTTAAACAATAAACAAGTTTTTTTGTTTTGTTTTGTTTTGTTTTTGGAGAGAAAGTCTCACTCTGTTGCCCAGGCTGGAGTGCAGTGGTGCAATCTTGGCTCACTGCAATATCTGCCTCCCGGGTTCAAGCAATTGTTCTGCCTCAGCCTCCCAAGTAGCTGGGACTACAGGCACCTGCCACCACACCTGGCTAATTTTCGTAGTTTTAGTAGAGATGGGGTTTCACTATGTTGGCCGGGCTCATCTCGAACTCCTGACCTCACGTGATCCACCCACCTCAGCCTCCCTAAGTGCTGGGATTACAGGCGTGAGCCACCACACCCGGCCTAAACAAGTGTTAATTTTGGTTGCATCACAATAAATAGAACCTGAGAAAGTATGTGATAGCCACATGATAAAAAGGTTTATTTATATAATAATCATTTAGATCTTAAAAGGACCAAGCCAATTCTGTATCCACTTGCACAGAGGTATCTCAGTGACGTGACCTTCCTAAAATTTTCATCCAGTTGCTTCCCTGCCCTGCTTAAAAGATCTCCGACAGCTCCCCATGGCTTCTGGGAATCAGTCACTTTCAGAGTGTAGAGTAGCTTCACATCCCAGTTTTCCCCAGACAGTCTCAGTTCACACTGACTATCTTGTCAAAATTACTTATAGCTTTCACTTTCACCCTAAAAAGCAGAGCAGTTTGGATATAAATCATAGTCATCACAAATTTAAAGACTTTAATATCTCATACATGTTCAGCCTCATATCCTGCTATTCCTTCAAAACTCCTTCAGACGTGTGGAACGTGTCATAATTTTGGAACACATCAAGTAGTTCCATTTCTGTATTCTTTTTATTGCCCAACGTGCACTATTTTCACAGCCTTTTAAGTCTTCTTTTACATCCTTAACCCTATACCCATTTATCCACCTGGAAAGCTCCAGCTTACCCTTGAAATCCTAGATCAGGTGCTACTCTCACTAAAGGCCTTGTCCACGCCTGGAGAATAAGCTTTTCATTCCTGTTCTGTGAGCACACACCTCTCACACACCTCCACTGTAGCATCTGTGGCATTTTACTGTACGTGTAGGTTTATCTGTGTCCCTCATCAGACTCGGATCTTTGAGAATATGTTTAAATATGTCCAAAAGAACACATTTATGAGCTCAGCCTCCTCCAAGAAAAATCCTAGTCCGATTCCAGCACTGCCCATCTCAAAGAACAGAAACAAGAGCTTCTGCTGAAAAAGTTGGAAACCAGCTATCATTCTTGGCTCTTCTCTCTCACTCACCTTTTCCCACTTCACCCTATCACAAAATTTAGATTTTACCTTCTGAATCCTCACTTCTGTTATCTCCACCAAAGTCCAAGCAATAGCCATCTCTTATATAGACTGAATCTATAGCATTCTAACCAGGTTGGCTGCAGATACTCTGACTATTCTCAACATTTCACTCAGAGTATTCTTTCTGAAAATAAAAAACTTCACTATTACTTATGTTTAAATTCTAGCAATTATTTCCTGTTAATCTAATGATGGAGATCCAAATTCTGAGCTCAACCTGCCAATGTCTATTCATCAAAAATACCTGGCTTTATCTACTCAATGCCTGTTTATCCTTGAACTCTCAGCTCAAGTATCACTTTCTCAGGGAAGACATTTTCTGACTTCCCTGAGTCAAATCTCCCTATTATAGACTTTCATTTGACCACCACTTGAGCATTTATTTCATTGCATATGTTAATTTCACTTGTATCACCTAGATACAGTTCACAAGCTAGACTGTACACTTATTATTATTATTGTTATTTTTTGCATAGGGGTCTTGCTTGTTCAGCCAGGCTGGAGTACAGTGCTATAAGCATAGCTCACTGCAACCTTGAACTCTTGGGCTCAAGCGATCCTCCTGCCTTAGCCTCTCAAGTAGAAATTATGCAGGATATTTTACTCCTTAGCTCAGCTAGGTGCAGGTTCTTGTCTCACAACCAGGAAAAATTAGGCACACGGACACCGGAGAGTGAGTGGAGTAGAGTTTATTTATTTTATTTTATTTCTTTATTTATTTTGAGACAGAGACTCGCTCTGTCGCTCAGGCTGGAGTGCAGTGGTGCAATCTCGGCTCATGGCAACCTCTGCCTCCCAGGTTCAATCGCCTTCCAATTCTCCTACCTCAGCCTCCTGAGTAGCTGGTACTACAGGCACCCACCACCACACCTGGCTAATATTTTGTATTTTTAGTAGAGACGGGGTTTCACCATGTTAGCCAGGATGGTCTCGATCTCCTGATTTTGTGATCTGCCCGCCTCATCCTCCCAAAGTGGTGGGATTACAGGCGTGAGTCACTGTACCCGGTCCTGGAGTAGAGTTTATTAAGTGAAAGTAAAGCTGTCAGCAAAGAGTGGGGACCTGAAAGCAGGGTCCTTGTTACCTCCTTAACAGTTGAATACAAGGGCTTTTACATATAAGCCAATGGGGCTGGATTCCCTATTTGTATAAGGCGCGAATTCCTGGTGTCACCACCCCATTCCCCCAGTGCACATACAGGACCTTAGTCGGCCGTGGGCATGTTTAGGCAAGCTCCTGTGCAGGTTGCCTTATTTGCACAAAACACAGGTTGGAGGTTCTCCGGGAACCCCTTCCTTCCTATTTGCCTAAAGCAAGCTGACTGACTCCTTTCAATTAGGACTGCAGGCATGCACCACCATGCCCAGCTAAGTTTTTAAAATATTTTTTAGAGACATGGGTCTCACTATGTTGCCCAGGCTGGTCTCAAACTCCTGGCCTAAAGTCATTCCCTCACCCCAGCCTCCCAAAGCCCTAGGGACTGTATACTTCACAAAGGCAGGATCCATTTCTGGTTTTGCTCACTATGCTACCCAAAACCCTAGTCATAGTAAATACATATGTGTAAATGATTGAATGATGACTGAATGAATGAGAGTCTTGCTTGTCTTTATAGCTTCAGTGGTAAGGATGATACCTAGAACTTAGAAACAGATAAGTAAATAGGATTTTATATTTTCTTTGGATAAGTATTTTATATTTTATATAAACACTTTTCTTTGGATAAGTGTTTAATTATACTATTTACCTTTTTATCAAGGGAAAAGGGAGTTTGTTCTGTCTTGTTTAGTCTGGAAGAGTTCAAAGAACGGAATTAAACTTTCGCTATGTTTTCTTTTTTCTTCCCTCAGGTCCTTTTATTTCTAAGCCATGCTCTAGTACATAATACTTTGCTCTCGTCTTTTGGCTATTAAAATTACACCTCAGGTGGGTTAGGTGAGGAACTGTGGTAGTTTCAATTGACGCCCAACCCCTGCCAAAGAAATAGCAGATGGGGCTTTGAATTATTTCATGAAGACCTGAATTATCTGAAACAGATAGTATAAACTCAAACAACTTCAGGGGTCAGAGAATATAAATGAATGAAATTTGAGGGTGTAAAAGAGTGCATGTCCTATTTAAAGTCACTCAGATTCCCAGTTGGTTTTAACTCTGGTATGGTCAGAGATCAACATGTTATTAATGTATAATGGAAGGTTGTAGTGTGCTACCCTTATCTGGTATATCATGGATAATATTTTTATAGCTTGGCTTAATTTGTTTTAAATCTCCAAGCTGAATAGTAACAAATTATTTAGACTGTCAAGTTAAAATATAGATACATGTATGTTTATTATAAGTTAAAATATAGATATATATGCACACACATATGTGTGTGTGTATTTAAAAATATATCTCCAGTTCCCTAACACTGTGCTTTAAATGAAGTGTTGCGTTGGAAAAATAAACCCTAAAGTGTAATTCTACACTTGTTAATGGGTTGATGAGATGTTCGATTTAATTGGCTTTCTTCATGTTGTGCTTCTGGTGTCAGGGAAAAGATAGTTCTTACTGTCAATTTCTTCCTAATTTATCTCATGTTGAATGCTCTGCCAATTTAGCTATTCAATTACAGCAATATTCATTTTTCTTACTTACAGGAGTTTAACTCTGGAATGACCTGCATATTTGAAATAGAGGATTAAATCAGAGTCAATTATGTTACTCATGGTTATGGAGGACAGGGATATTATGATAAATGAAATCTGCTTGTAATCCAGAAAGCCTCATTTTAGGCAAATGCATCACAATTTTACTAGAGTGACTTTTATTAGTCTTGCCAACAAGAAGCAAATAGTCAGTACATTTCCTTCTTCAATATGTCACTTACTAAACATGCAAAAGGGCAGCATGCTGGCCAGTGTGGGAGGAGCAGGAAGAAATGGAGAGGCCAAAGGTCCAGTGTACCATGTTGTAATTAGTCTGTTCTCACACTGCTAATAAAGGCATACCCGAGACTGGGTAATTTATAAAGGAAAGAGGTTTAATTGACTCACAGTTCAGCATGGCTGGAGAAGCCTCAGGAAACTTACATGGTGGAAGGGAAAGCAAACACGTCCTTCTTCACATGCCAACAACGTGGAAAAGTGCTGAGCAAAAGGGGGAAAAGTCCTTTATATAATCATAAGAACTCATGAGAACTCACTCACTATCATGAGAACAGCATGAGGGTAACCGCTCCCATGATTCAATTACCTCCCACCAGGTCCTCTCAGAACATGTGGGGATTATGGGAACTACCATTCAAGATGAGATTTGGGTGAGGACACAGCCAAACCATATCACATGTACACACCAAAGTTAGCTTAAGAAGATAAAAATTAGTCATTTATTTGTTTTACTTTTTTTGATTTGTTTAAATGAAAACAAATGAATATAACATTTATTCTAGCAGAAATATTGAAGGATTCCTATGAAATTCTTATTTCTTAACTATTAAAAGGTATAATTTATTATGAAGATAAAAACAGACATTCATTTATTCTTACAGGTAAGGAAATTACAATGGAAATCAGAGACAAAATGGGGAAAAAAGGTAAGTTCTAAAATGTAGCCAAGTGAGAACGAGGGGAAAAGTTAAAAGCTGGTTTCTACCAAACCAAATTTTTCTATAAGTTAGTGTACTACCAAGAAACAGAAAGCACATTGAAATGGGATTATGTTTGAAGATGTTTGAGTGCTATTAAAAAATTAGGTGGTAGTTGGAAAGGAAAAAGGGACCAAAAAAGGGTTCTTTTTCAATGTTTTTGTCTTTTATGGTAGGTGATATTAGAGCATGTTTATATACTAATAGTAATGATCTAATAGAAGAAGAGAAATTGCTCAACAGGAGAAGTAATAATTTCCAGAACGGAGGTCCAATAAGTTGAGTGAGAATAGAGCACAGAACTCGAGTGAAGAAGGAGTTGCATTTTATACGAACAAGAATTCATTCATAATGTGACTGACCATGCAACCAAGGCAGCTCCTCTTCCCCATCAGACAACTATTGTTTACAGCTGTCTTTCTCCCAGGTAGGGCCATGAGATTGATTCCCACAGAGGGAATAAAGAAAGAAAGTGTCACTTCTGAGCTGAAGCAGTTATGCCTTCTCCACCATCTTTTGCCTCTATGGTGATCACAGAAGCCACATGTTGCAGATGACCTCATATCAAGAAAGTGATCTGAATCTCTAAAGCATTGCTTGAAGAGAAGCTGTCCAGGAAAGCTACATGACCAGGAACAGATGCATGGACTTCAAGTGAGCGATAAGCAAACTATCATGGGAGAAGCCACTGAGACGCTGAGCATTTCCTCTCAGCAGTCAACATACCTTAGTGAGTATTCACAGGATGAAAAGCTGAAAGTGTGCTAGGGACACAAATGGATCGGTAGATTTCATAGAAAGAAGACTGGGGTAGCTTCTAAATGTGTGTTTTTTAAAATGGCCCAAGTTTATAAGCTAGGAAGGGGGGAAAGGAGAGTTTGGTATAGGATGTTTGAGTAGGAAAGCAGGCATGTATTTGTCATTTTGGCGAATGAGAAAGTGAACACACTGAGGAGTTTAGTAGACATGCTGGATAGCGGCAACATCCGATTTGAGATTTGAGATCACAAATGTAATATGTCTAACATTGGTTGAAAGACATTCTAGTTAAGCATACAAACAAACACAAGCTTGTTTCAGAACAAAGGTAAAGAATTCAGACTTCATCTAATTACACTTTGATGAATAAAAGGAGATTATAAGATATTTAAAGAGGGAAGAACAGGACAATTTCAGATGGATCAAGCAAGGCTGAACAAGGGACAATGGCTTTCGCTGCTGTAAATAGTACTATGGCACAACAGGAGAATCAATGAGGGGAGAAACTGGTGCAGCAGTTTTGAAATATCTACAGAAGACTTGACAACAATACTTGAATGAGGACAATATCTCTGGTTTATTGAATGTTGATCATGTGCCCAAGAGTACATTAAGTCGTTACATATCAAGATATGTAATCTGTGAGGGAAATATTGATTTTATGTCCTTATTTTAAATGTGAAGAAAAAAGGACCCATTACAGTGAAGAGATTTGCCCAGTGGTGCACAATTAGAAAATGGCAGAGCGAGATTCAACTCCACACAATCAGATTCCGGAACCAACTGCTTCCCCAAAGCTCTAGTTCCCCCAAAGCTCTAGTTCCCTCCCTACAGAGGGCCTTTGGCTAAGACACCAGGTGCTTACATTTTTATTAAGTCACTACTCTGAGGCCCAAGGGAGCTGAGGAAATTGAGAGCATGCAAGAGAAATGGTGCTTCCACTGGTGTTTTCACCAAATAAATTAAAATTTAACCATAAAAAAATTATTAAAAAGCACAAAAGATGCTGATATGCTTATGAAGTTCCTGCTTATGAAGTTCCTTTTTTATAATAAAGAAATTATATTTAATCTACGTGGGCTTGCTCTTTAGTCAAAATACACTTCTGTCTCCTATTCAGTCATCCTTCCACTGCTTTAAAGCAATTTACTTTGTTATGTCAATTTTAATGTAAAATGATTTGTTTTAGATTAATTTTATTTCTTGGGAATTAACTACACAAGAAATGTTCTCTAAGATCAGCTGCATGTCTTCTGTCAAACAAATTTCAATCATGTGAAAATTTCAAGGAATTTTGGTAAGAAAAGTTTTTAGTATCCAAAGTTAAAATGGACATTATGGCCTTAATCACCATCCATGGGAACAATTCACATGTACAAAAATAATTGCACTATCAAATTAGTTTCCTCTAGTTTTGGTACCATCTTCTATCAGATTTTTTTTTCTTGAAAGAATTAAGATTTCAGTATCACCCTTCCCATTCTGTCTTCCACAGCTATAATTATTTTTATCATCTATATCCTCTATTGTTTCCCAGTTGAATTAATCAAGTAAATTGTATTAACTGAGACCGCTAGGGTCCTCCTCAAACTCCTCAATTTAATGACTATCGGGAGAGTAGAAAATAAAGCTATTTAAAAGTGGCATTTCCTTTAGCATCTAACATACAGAAGATATATATATAAAATCAATGTAAGTGATAGCAATATCTTGAAAAATTTCAGTTGCTTGAAGAATGGGGTAGTGTATTTGTTTCCTATTGCTCCTATAACAAATTATCGCAAATTTAGTGGCTTGAAACAACAGGAATTTATCTTGCATTTCTGAAGGTCAGAAGTCCAAAATCCATTTCAGTGGGCTAAAATTGAGATGTCTATAGCGCTACATTCCTTCTGGAGCCTCTGGGAGAGGATCATTTTTCTTACTTTTTCCAGCTTCTAGAGGACACCTACATTCCTAGCCTCAATGCCTCACTCTCCACGTTTAAAGCCAGTAGTGTATCATCATTTCTCCTTCCTGACCTCTGCTTCCATCCTTACATTTTCTCCCTCTGACTGATCCTGCCTCCCTCTTACAAAGACCATTGTGATGACATTAGGGACATTTGAATAATCCAGGATAATCTGCCTATGTCAAAATTCTTCACTTAATCACATCTGCAGAATTCCTTTGCCCTGTGAGATGGTTGAATTTATATGTCAACCTGACTAGGTTAAGGGATGCCCAGATAGCTGATAAAATTTTATTTCTGGGTGTGCCTGTAAAGGTGTTTGCGAAAGAGATTTGTATTTGAATTTGTAGACCCAGTAAAGAAGATCCACCCTCACCAATGTAGGTGGATATCATCCAATCCTCTGAGGGCCTGAATACAAAAACAAAACAAAGCAAAACAAAATAACCCCCCCCCCCCGACACACACACACACACCAAAAAAAAAAAAGACAGAGGAAGGATGAGTTTACTCTCTTTCTTCTTGAGGCGGAATCCATCTGTTCCTACCCTCAGACATTGGAGCTCCTGGTTCTCAGACCTTCAGACTTTGGGAGTTACACTAGGAACCCCTCATCTGATTCTCAGGCCCACAGACTCAAATGGAATTATACCACTAGCTTTCCTGGTTTTCCAGCTTGCAGATGATAGATTGTGAAACTTCTCAGCCTCCATAATTGCATGAGCCAATTCTTATAATAAATCTTTATATGTATACACAAATACACACAACACAAACACATACATATACATTACATATACATATCTGTGTGTGTTTATATATAGATGTAGTGAGAGAGAGAGAGAGAAGAGAGAAAGAGAGAGAGAACTTGCTGGTTCCGATTCTCTGG
Organism: Homo sapiens; assembly: GCF_000001405.40. Taxonomy (NCBI): domain Eukaryota; kingdom Metazoa; phylum Chordata; class Mammalia; order Primates; family Hominidae; genus Homo; species Homo sapiens. The sequence continues at coordinate 238,314,167 of NC_000001.11, read as the reverse complement.
AGAACCCTGCTCAATACATCATGTAAGGTAACACATTCACAGGTTCCAGAGATTAGAATGTGCACAGCTTTGAGGGGCCATTATTCTGCCTACCACAGATAGTGGAATGGAAAAGCAGCTAGGAATCAGAAGAGCTGGGTTCTGGTTCCTGTTCTGACATTTAAATAACTAGATATTCTAGGGGTATAGAAGTCGACATGACTGGTACACCACCACACTCACCCTGCTGCCTAGACATTCCATTTTACATCAGAGAAATCAAGACCCACAGAGGGTCCCTGAGTTGCTCGAAGCCAAAACCTAAAAGTAGCAGAAGTGAAATAAAACACAGGTTCTGAGTTCCTTGCCAGTGCCCCTCCTGCTGTATCACACTGACAGGTGACTTTTTGCACCTAACACATGTCCACAGGATGGTTGAGAGAAGCAAATGAGACTGCACAAGTGAAAGTCTTTTGCCTTTATGAAATGCTCTACTATAGGAGACATTTTTATTACTTTCACAGTATAAACAAAGCACTATCAAACAACGTTAGGTCTCTTTTCTCTCAATCAGTAAAGACCAAAGGCTTGAGAGGAGAAAACATAGAAAGTAAAAATTTTGTGCTTGAAGTAAGGGAAAATAAAGTTAGGCCCAGGAGTTTTACTGAGGGCCACTCAAAATTCCCCTTCACTCTCAAAAAGAAATGTTAAATTCAGCATCAAATTGATTACTTGCTAAATGCTTATTTAGAGAGGAAAAGGATAATAGGAGGGGAAACATCAGCTTTCCACTCAGTATCTGCTCTGCTGACTCACATGTCCATTTGCAGAGACGAAAATTCTCAACTGAGCTTCAAACATGTTTAGGATTTCTTGCAAAAATTAAATTGCTCCTACAACTCATGGAATTATATCTAACAAAGGATTGCTTCAAGGGCAAGCTTGACCTATTAGCAGATGGGAGCACAGCTGATGAAATAAAGTGATTAATGCTTACATTTAATGGATTAAACTCAACAACCCAGTGATGATGGAAGACCTACCTATTAGCTCCACTGCAGCTTGTAAGCATGGCCTTCAAATCCTGAGACAGCTTTTGAACAGAAAGGCCTTTTAGAGAAAACTAATGTGCTGAACTGAGGGAAAGGCAAATGGGGTTCACTCAAGAGTTTCATCTCTGAAATGACTACATTACATAAGGGAAAGTAAATTCTCAAAGTTTGGTGGCTGGGTAGGAGGGAGGTCCACCAGTTTTCTTATAGTTGAAGTCTGGTTAAAACAAAAATCCCACAGGTCCTATGAGTCATTTGTTAAGAAGAGAAAGTCTTTCCTGTAGGCCTTGCTAAAGGTTTGATGTTGGGAACCAATTAGCAGCTGTGGCAAATCGTTTTAATGACGAAAAAGCATGAATTAGTTTCAGAGAACGGTGTGGACTCTATTTTTTAAGTTCGGAGGTTTTGAAGCTATCCTGGCCTCGTGTTAGAAAGTAGGTCATGCCTGTGTCTCCGTGTTCTTATTGATAGATACCAAAATGTGTAAGTCCCAGCTGGCAAAAGCAAACTGAATTAGCTTCAGAATGTTACCTAAACATCACCAAGTGCTACAGACCGAATGTTTGTGTCTCCTCAAAATTCAAATGTACCCCATTAATCTCCCCTAAGGACGTGGTATTAGGAGATAAAGCCTTTAGGAGGTTATTAGATCACGAGGGAGAAGGCATCACAAATGGAGAAAGTGCTCTTATAAAAAGAATTCCAGTAGTCTCCCTTGCCCCTTCCACCATGTGAGGACACAGCGAGAAGGTGGCTGTCTGTGAATCTGCTGCTGTCTTAATCTTGAACTTCCAAGTCTTCTGAAACGTAAGAAATCAACTTATAATATTCATAAGCCACTCAGTCCATAGTATTTTTATACAGCAGACCAAGTGGACTAAGAAACCAGGAGACTGGGAAGAGAAGTGGAGGTAACTTTTTTTTTTTTTTTTTGAGACAGAGTCTCGCTCTGTTGCCCAGGCTGGAGTGCAGTGGTGCAACCTCAGCTCACTGCAACCTCTGCCTCCCAGGTTCAAGCAATTCTCCTGCCTCAGCCTCCCGAGTAGCTGGGAATACAGGTGCCCACCACCACTCCCGGCTAATTTTCTGTATTTTTAGTAGAGACAGGGTTTCACCGTGTTAGCCAGGATAGTCTCAATCTCCTGACCTCTTGATCCTCCTGCCTTGGCCTCCCAAAGTGCTGGGATTACAGGCGTGAGCCAGTGTGCCCGGCTGGCAGCTTCTGTATGGTAATAAGCCCTCTACAATTCTCTGCCTATCAGAATCTCAGCATCCTAATATTGAAACCCTGTGAATGCAAGCCTGGATCAGCTGGAGATTTCCCTACTATGCAATGCTACAACTGACACTGAGGAGTTAATCTGATGCGGTCTGCCAAACTTAGCCTGCTCTGCTTGATTTTGGTGTCTTGCAGTTTTTTTTTTTTTCCATGAAACTGAAGGCTGCAGTAGCTGAAGGCTATGCTGCTGAACACTGTAACTTAACCTTCCTTGGGTACCTTATAGATAACCTTTTTAAGTCACCATGGTAACAATCACTTAAGTTGTTCTTTAGGAGCTTAGGGGTAGCTCCCATCCAGGTCAAACTGGTTGAGACCACTGACCCTTCAACTGGGGCTGTGGAAATACCTGAGTGGTGGCCTTTTGACCTCACAGACACAAATACTTCACCCTGTCATCATGCTAATGCTGCCATTCTCTGAAAAATACATCCCATGAAATGCCATGAACACGATGTTTGTATAGATAACTGATTAGTTCATTTTTCCCACTGCCAGTCACCTTTCTCTATGTCTTAGACCACCCCACTTCTGTAACCCATAAATATCCCTAAGCCCTATCTTTAGGAAGGTGGATTTGAAACCTGTTCTCCTGCCTCCTTGCTTGGCTGCCTCATGAATAATCCCTACCTCTTTTGCAAACTCTGTCATCTCAGTGATTGGCTTGCTATGCGTGGGAAGAATGAACCAGGTTCAATAAGGCAACTAGTCAATTGGTAAAATGTGCTTTACTTCTCCTTTGCTACAACTAACATACACACACGCACACACCCCTATGCAATTTTATTGGTCTTTAGCAATGCATCCTCCATCTTCTTCAATTGTGGAGGTGACAAAATAAACAGTAGAATATTCTAAATCTTTTCTAGTTGGCATTGAATTGCAACGAGAAGGCTGCTCTCAACTGAGCACATTGTCACCTGAACACTCACAAACATGCACACACTCCCATATACTCTGCCACTCTGGCAAGACTTTGGCACTGGCTTGGTTCTCCTCCTGCCAGCAGTCAGAATCCAAATAGATAGTACAGTGGAAGCCACGGACAATTCCCAAAGTGGAGAATCTCAAAGCACGGTAAATGGACTGATTCTTCATTCTGAGAATACAGTTACCATAATAATATATGTTTATACAGTTTAAGAATGTCCTGGCTTACACAACCTAACCATAGTCAAAAAATCAAAGCAGTACAGATATGGTTCAAGTAACCAAAGGAAAGTCAATGTTCTATGCAGTCTTGGCCAGGCGCGGTGGCTCACATCTGTAATCCCAGCACTTTGGGAGGCCAAGGCGGGCAGATCACCTGACATCAGGAATTTGAGACAAGCCTGGCCAACATGGTGAAACCCCGTCTCTACTAAAAATACAGAAATTAGCCAGGTGTGGTGGCAGGTATCTGTAATCCCAGATAGTCGGGGGGCTGAGGTAGGAGAATTGTTTGAACCCAGGAGGCAGAGGTTGCAGTGAGCCAAGAACGCACCACTGTACTCCAGCCTGGGTGACAGAATGAGACTCCATCTCAAAAAAATAAAATGTTCTGTGCAGTCTCGACTGGTATATTTCATGACAAATCATTGAGCACAGATCCCTTAAATTCACAATTCTTAAATTTCTAATGATTCCCTGAGTGAAGAGAAGCTCTTCTCCCCGCATGGAAACTCATCACTTCTCTTTCTTGTGTGGACTTCTGTAGAATATGAAGATGGCATGTGGTCTACATACACACAGAGCTCATTGTTCTCCACCTATCCTCTTTTCCTTGCAAGACCTGTCTAATTCGTTTTAGGATTGTTTTGAGGATACTTACTTTTAGGGAACCATCTGTAGTCTTAATCTCTCCATAGTCTAAAAGTTCAGGCAGCATTTTTGAATTGAAAGTCAAAAACTCAAAGATGCTGGTGATAAACTCATATCCCTAAGGATAAGTCCAGGTAAACAGTTCTCAACTGGGGGTAAATTTGCTCATCAGGGAACACCTGACAGGATCTGAGGACATGTTTAATGTCACACTAGAGGAAGAAAGCTCCTGGCACCTAACAGGTTGTGGCCAGGGGTGCTGCTAATCATGCTGCAATGCACAGGATGGCCCCCACAACAAAGAATTACCCAGCCAAAAATGTGAACAGTGCCAATGCTGAGAAACCCTTAGTGCAGTTGTATGTCACCACAGAGAGAAAAACCTTCAAGAGTAAAGAAGAGAAAGATCATCAAGGTCTCTGTTCCTGTATTTGATCTGTCACTAGATTCGTTTACTATTGCTGCTGTTAACAAGCTACCACAAACTTGGTGCCTTAAAACAACATAAATGTATTATCTTACAGTTCTAGAGGTAAGTTAAAACAAGCCTCACTGGGCTGAACTCAAGCTTATTGCAGGGCTTTATTCCTTCTAGAGGCCCTGGCAGAAAATTCACTTCCTTGCTTCTGGAAGCTGCCTGCAAACCTTGGGTGAGGGCCTGCTTTCATCTTCTAAGGCGGCAATGGCCAGTAAAGTCCTATGGTGCCATCTCTCTGGCATTTGAAAGCACCTTTGTAATCACATTGAGCCATCCAGAAAATCCAGTATAATCTTATTTTAAGGTCAGTTGATTAGCAACCTCAACTCTATCTGCAAACTTAATTCACCCTTATACCTATGTCCATATTCATTTTCTGGGGATTAGAACATGAACATCTTTGGGGTGAGGGGCTGTTTTTCTGCCTGCCACAGTCACTGATTTGTAAGGAACCTAGGTGACTTCTATGCTGGCTCAGAAGAAGCAAATTACACAATATCATAAAAGCATCTGAACATTCATGACACTGAACTAGGAAATTTATATTTCATTTTTTCTCTTAATACTGAGAATAGAGCGCCTGACCACCCAAAGACCTGAGTGAAAGGTAACAAGTAAAAATGGTTCAAGGTCAAAAAGACACTAGATTATCAACAGTGGAACCCCGTAATCTCAGTTTCTCAAAATGCCTCTCTGCCTGTAGCCTGATCTCTCACTCCACTTTTGCTAAGCAGCCCTGTGCTTCTGCACAATTGTGCTGTCTCCTGCATCAGTATTTCTCCTCGTGCCCTTCCTTCTCCTTATGTGTCTATCCTGTCATTGGTATTTTCAATATCCATCGCTGGCAATTTAACAATCCACCAACCTCTTTCTCCTTTATGCAACTCCCTACCCATATCAACACAATTCTTCTTCCTTAACTTCCTCATAGCTCTTGTTGTCATCCATCATATTAGAATATAAGTATCTAGTGGGAAAACAGAATGGAGGCTATTTTGTTAAGTGTCATGCATAGTACTAATTAACAAATATTTGTTGAAATAAATGGAATGGGATTTGTGTTTCCTTTTATTTTTACTGAGATAAAATATATGTAATATATTATTTACCTTTTCACTATTTGGAAGTGTACAATTCGATGGCATTAATTATATTCATAATGCTGTGCATCTATACTCAAGACTTTTTCATTATTCCCAACATAAAATCTATGCCCAATAAACAATAATTCCCACTCCTCCCTTCCCCGTAGCCTCATGTAACCTCCATTCGGTTCTCTGTCTCTATGAATTTGTTTATTATAGGCATCTCCTGCAAGTGGAATCATACAATATGTGTTCTTCCATGTCTAGCTTATTTCACTAAGCATAATGTTTTCGAGGCCCATTCATGTTGTAGATTTATCACAATTTCGTTCTTTGAATGACTGGTGTTCATTGCATATATCACATTTTATTTGTCCATTCATTTGTTGATGGGCACTTGGGTTATTTTTACCTTTTGACTGTTGGTAATAATGCTGCTATGATCATTAGTATAGAGATATCTGTTCAATTCCTTGCTTTCAATTCTTTTTGGATATATACCTAGGAGTGAAATTACTGAGTCCTATGGTAGGGTGGTTCTATGTTTAACTTTTTGAGAAACTGCCAAACTGTTGGCAGTTGGCTGCAATATTTTACAAATGAAAACAAAAATATTTTTCTAATTGATACACATTTTAAACTCAAAGCAATTGCTTTGTTCTACTGATTTACAATATTTTTAGAATCAGGAAAATGTGTCATTTGATTTAACCTTTTGCTCTCAAAGAGAATGGGTAGCAAAATGTGTCTTTTAAAATGTTAACATTCTTAGAATTTATGAATACATGATAATTTCCTAGAATAGGTAAAGTAACGAGAAGAAATACAGACTTAGCAAACTCTGTGATGCCTGAATTAATAAAAACATAAAACAGCACAAACATATGTAGCAATTCTAAACAAATAAGCATTTCACAAAAAAATCTGATATTTGGATGTGTGTCTTAAGAAAGAGATGTTATTGTAAGAAATAAAATTTTATTTAACTTTTATTACACATCTGTTAATTAATTTCAATAAAAGGAGATATGTACCTTGTTGTACATTCTGTTTGTTTTTTTTTCAATTAGGCCAATTTGCATCCTTTTGTTTACAAAACAAAAGAGTTGTTTTGTTCTACTGATCTAATTTAGAGCACAAGGAGACAGAACTCACATTCAGCAATGTCTCATTGTTGGTATAATTAATTTGAGTTGGATTTGTCATACTTTGCTAGGAACCAGAATATTTCAATTAAATGATAGTATCTTTTTTAAGGCTGCACTTGCTGACTTAACAAGTATTCTAATATAAAATATAATATTAAAATCGAAACACTGGCATCTAGACTCTCCAAGAACAAATTATTTAAATACTAGACATGTAGCCTAGGTCAAAAATCATATGGCATTCACTTTTAGGAATATTAATGAAATTGTTATCTTTTATCTTCAGAGGTCAGTATAAGAAAATTTACTTAAATATGCTTAAGATGTTTGAATGTTTTGAATTGAGACTGTCACAGGACTAATTTACTATAAAGCCCCCCTTTCCATTTTAGACAGTAATTATGCTTTATAAAAAGAGATATTCTTACTGTTGATGCTAGTACATTAAAAAATTTGCAGCTCTGGCAACTGGTGACTTTCAGCCCCAGGCCTAATCTTCCCCTGGTGCTAAACCAATCCTGACCAGGCCAGGAACCACTTTAGCCCCCATCAACTGAAGAGGTCTGAGTTAATTTTCCAATCAGCCTGGTACTCAAATCACTAAGCATGAGCCCTGGGCCTTCATGTATATTCAAGGGTCTTCACATTGTTTCCCTTTTCCTTTCCAAACTAACTTCAGCAATTAACTGAGATTCCTCAAAAGCACTTCTATGCCCCACAATGATTTGGCATTTTCGTCAACTCTCTAGATTAAACCTTTTGTATTTGTGGTTGACAGAAATGAGTAGACAGAAAAGTAGATGAACTGTTACAACCAGTATATGTAGTTCTTTTAACCATGTGGTTCTAGTTCTTCTCAACAGATCCTTTTGACTTTATAAACTGCAAAGTGAAAATAATCTCTTCACATGAAGCCAAAGAGAAGGGCCTCAACTGACATGCAATATGCCCTGATCTAGCAAGCTCATTGTCTTAGTCTGCTTTGTGTTCCTATAAACGAATACCAGAGATTGTGTCATTTATAAAGAAAAGAGGTTTAATTGGCTCATGGTTCTGCAGGTGGTATAGGAAGCATGGCACTGGCATCTGCTCCTGGTGAAGGCCTTGGGAAGCGTCTGGTCATGGTGGAAGGCACAGAAGGAGCAGGCATATCATATGGTGAGAGTAGGAGCAAGAGAGAGAGGAATCAAGAGAGAGAGCAGGGAAGGTGCTAGTCTTTTTAAACAGCCAGATCTTGCATGAACTCATTAGGACAGGGAGGGTACCAAGCCATTTGTGAGGGATCCACCCTCAAAATCCAAACATCTCCCACCCAAGCTCCACCTCCAACATTGGGAATCACATTTCAACATGAGATTTGGAGGGAAAAAACAGCTCCCAAATTGTATTATTCCATCCCTCAACCCCCACCAAATCTCATGTTCTTCTCATGAGAAGAACATTGCAAAAATGTTGCAAACATTTGTAAAAATACATTGCATAAATACAAAAATCTCTTCCCAATAGTCCTCAAAAGTCTTAACTCATTCCAGCATCACTCAAATCCACCTATCAGCCTATGAAATCAAAACAAGTTATTTATTTCTAAGATACAATAGTGGTCCAGGCATTGGGTAGACATCCCCATTTCAAGAGGGAGAATGGCCCCACACAAGTCCAACATTCAGCAAGGCAGATATTAAACGTTAAAGCTCCAAAGTAATCCTGGACTCCATGTCCCACATCCAGGGTACACCAGTGCAAGGAGTGGGCTCCCAAGGCCTTGGGTAGCTTTTCCCCTGTGGCTTTGCAGGGTGCAGGCCCTGTGGCTGCTCTCATGGCTTGGAGTTGAGTGCCTGCACCTTTTTCAGATGCATGGTGCAATCTGCTGACGGATCTACCATTCTGGGGTCTGGGGAATGGTGGCCTTCTTCCTACAGTTCCAGTAGGCAGTGCTCCAGTGAGGACTCTGTGTGGGAGCTCCAACCCCACATTTCCCCTTGGCACTGCCCTAGTAGAGGGTCTCTGTGAGGG